>NC_000003.12:195366568-195517568 GCF_000001405.40 Homo sapiens | reverse complement strand
ATTTTGTATTAGGTCAGTGCCTGATTTTTCTTCACTGGAGATGAAGTACACCTTGCAAAGGAGTATATCCTGCTTAGCATTATAAAACCCACAAGAATAGGATAAGACTTAGGGAAATAAGTACCTTATTTACCCCCTACCCTTTTTGGGCCCTTAACATTTTACCAGCTTTTCAGATCTCTAAGTTCTATAGAACCCATTAGTTTTGGGACAGTGCCAGTCTCCTCCCTTCCCCCTTTCCTCCCCCATTCACACAATTCATTGGAGAAAATGACATGTTTGGACTCTTAGGTGATATTTTATAGCTTTCAGGTAATAAATATGTATCTTTTTATAGCTCTGGATATTGGAGTTGTCGTAAACTCTTACCTTTCCACCTGTGACTTACAGAAATGTTCAATCTGAAACCTGTTTGTTTTATCAGCAAGTAGACACTTCTGTTCTTTAGACTATTTAGGGGAGTGTATAGATTCTTCAATTTCAGTCTAAATCAGCCTACATGAAATATACCTTATTTGTTTTTAAAATTTTTATATTTGCTTGTCATGCATGCTAATAGAAGGGAACTTTAGCCAGGGTTGACAACATATAACAAATTATGTTGACTTTTTCTTTTATCTTTGCAGGATCTACTCCAAGTGACCAACAGCAAAACAAATTACGAAGTTCATAGACGAGATTTGTTCAACACTGCAATTGTTTGTTAGATGTAAACCCTGTGACTATAGTACGTTGCTTCTTGTTCTTCACAATTCATGACTTAAGTACCAAAATGCATACCAGTTATTATATATTGCCAAGAATTAAATGATAAACTTAGAGACTGATTAGACTGAAAATGCCTAATCGATATATATATTCTTGTGCCTAGTACTTTACCACAAATACAGTGTAATATCATCAGTCCAAAACTGCATTACTTTTGTAAAAACACTGGTTAATTTGTATAAGATATTATAGAGCTTTTTATGCTTTAGAAGTTAAACAATATCTTTGGGGGGGAACTAATTTATTTTCATCACTTGAAATGTGGTAGCTCTTACAAAGTTTATTGATTTGATTTTTTTAAAAATCAAAAGCCAATTGAACAACAGGATATATAGACTGATAAATATTTAGGCTGAATAGTATTTTAACACTTGTCTTCAACTTGATTTGTCTGTTTAATTGAAAAGAATTATAAGAGTTACTGTTGCATTTTCTGACCTACTATTTTTAAAATTCCTGTTGAGTTTCTTTGTGTTTACAAGGAAAGGACTGAACTTTTTCTCATCAAAACTAGCTTTTTTCCCCACAAATAAATTATCAGGTTAAACTTTCACCAATGTCTGCTCTGTTTTTTGTTTTTGGGGGGTTTTTGTTTGTTTTTGTTTTTTAATGTTTTTGGTACACTGGGCAGACTTCAGAGCAGTTTTTTAAAAAAATAAATATTCTAATGTAGCTATCTCGCCATTCCCTTTAAATACCTGTCTTAACCTCCTGCTTTTCTTTCCTACTCCTTTCCACACATACGCACACAATCTTCTACCTTTTAAAGGATCATTAAGACTGTCACCACATTAGGAGCTCTTTCTCTCACTCTTCTGTCATTTGCTGCTATGTTGAAATTCTTATTTTGACCATCAATGCCTATGAATTCTTCTAATACGTGAAGAAAATAGTTTGAGTAGCAGCAGTGCTATAGGTGGGAAATACAGTTTAGCTGCTGAATTTCTATACCTCTCTGATTTACAGATTGCTAATTAAATGGCTATTATTAGTTTGGATTAATTAGACTTAAGAAAACAACTAACTGAGGGTTTTTTTTGTTTGTTTTTTGAGGGTTTTCTTTGCATGAGAATTGTATGTAACCAGTGATATGATTATTCCTGAATGTACAGACAGAAGTAAGCCTGGACATTGTTAAATAGTCCCTGCTTTAAGGGACTACGATAATGTGTACTATGACAAACGTGCTTTATTCTTCTAACGCAGTAAGAATTAGGTGGAATTTTTTCCTTCAACCAAGTGCAGGAAAGCCCTGTGTGTCTTGGTTTAGTTATGGTTTCATTTCTAGCCATACAATTGATGAATTGTGTACAACTTTTGTTAGTACCAAAATAATCTGTTATATGAACAGACTTCTAAAATAACGTCTGTATATTTTATATATAGATACATATATGAAAGAAGGCTTTTATTGAACAGCTTATCTTCCACTTGCAGGTTTATGGAAACAGCAGTATTTGAAAATAAATAAAAAGTGGGAGAATTCCTTGCTGTTAGAAGAATGTGGCCATTATTTTGATTTTTTGAATGAGATATATAATCAAAGTACTGCTGAACTGTGAGTGCAGTATTCTAAACATTTCAGCTAGGAATACCACTGATTTAGAAACAAAACTGTTTGTCTCTGGTTTCTGAATTTAAAATGTTGGGATTACCTGTTTAAATCTGTCTTGGGGGATGTAGAGATTAAGTCTGTACATGTGCGTGCACATATATTCATGCACCCTCTGATTTTGGTTTTCTTGTTTCTGAGTTCTTAGAAAGTACCCACATACTCTTTTTTTTTTTTTGTAGAAGTAGCTGTCATAGAGTGAAGAAAAGGATAAGACTTTAAACAGTTGATTCTTTTTGTGTTTTCTACAAACTATTTTTTGAAATTTAAATCACAAACTCATTTTCTGGTTTTTAGAAAGTAGATGATGATTTCAGAGGAGTAAGGCATGCCAAGCAGCATGCTCAGTGGGGTTTTAGGCTGTCACATGCAGCTGAGAAAAGGTATGTTCAAGTCATAAGTAGGTAATTGATAGGGTATGAACTAGTCAAAATATGAACCATTATGATTCAAGTTAGATTTTCCTCTGGAGAGACAGATCTGAATGTTCAGTTCTAGCCAAGGTAGATTTTACTTTCAACTTTTTAATCAGTATCACTTTCTGTGCTTAACTATTTGGTGTTACCTTGTCTGTTTTCATTTGTCTAAAATTCTGCAGAGATGACTAAAATTTGACATAATGGTGTAAATGGATTGTTAAGGTAACTTTCAGTTGAAGATTAAAGCAAGATGCCATTTTCCCCATGACTTTGGTTTTGTTTACATTTTTCCCTTTCAGTTAGTATACACTACACGTACTGTAATAAAATACAATAATATGACAATTGCCTGTGTGTGGATTTTATTTTATTGTTACTTAGCTATCTCAAGACCATAATCCATCGACCACTTGCCCTGGATACCAGGAGTGGATCATGGATTACGCTGTGGCCGAGTAGTTTCCTCAGTCTTAGTAGCATTGTGCTCAGTCCCTTACATCTAACCCTCAAAACCACCACACAAAGGCAAGCATTCTTATCTACACTTTGTAAGTGAGGAAAGTGCTCTTGGTCAACTTATTTATTAATCATTTCAGTGCCTCACACATGCTAAATGATAGGATTTAAATCCAAACCTAACTAAATTTCATGGTCTTTATTCATACATTTTTTGATGTAGAAAACATTTTAGAAATTGTACCTTACAAATAAATGTATATGGATTATTGATCCATAACTATGCTTTAGGAGTAGCATTTTTCAGGTGTTTGAGCTTCTGGGGTTTTTTAAAATCTGAAAAATTGGAAATAACTTAATTTTGTTTGCAGTTTGTGTGCCATCTAGGAAAAATCGCTCAAAAGCACAAATAGCCAGTGGCTGGAGATGAATGCATGTCATTTGGTTGTGTTTTGCAAGTTTGTTTCTTAGCAGGCTGTTTCAAGCTCAGAACGTGATTTTTTTCATACAATCCATCTTAACAAGTCAAGGACCGTGTCAGCCTATAAAAGCCAACATGTACCCAACACAGGATTGCCCAGTGTGTTCCATGAAACCCTTATCCCACACCATGCTCCGTGAAAATGAGGCAATAAACAAGCCTCGCACATACTGTGTACTTTATTCCCCAGCCTCTTGGAGACTTATGTACATTATTATCATAATAAGGAGTCTGAGCAGTCCTGCTTATAGGAACCTATTTAAAACTTAGTTTTACCTTTTTCAAACATATCTCACTGTAACCACCCCATTTTGTCCATCAAATAACATCCCAAGTAGGGCAATAGGCCAGGGTCTCTCATATATCAAACTTGGACTTTCTCCTAAAAGAGGAAGAGAATGGTTTATCAGTGAAAGAAGGAAGACATGGTAGCAATAACTGCAGGGTATTGATGGATCGGATACAACTTGCCAAACATAAGATTTTACTTTTTGGTAACTTATGCAAGAAACTGCAAAATATATATTCAGGACAGATTAATGTGTAGTTGTGGTTGGTTATAAGCTGCAGTGGTTTTGTACTGATAGACTAGTATTCCAAAGACCTGCTGCTCAAGCAGATTTTTGGAATGTCTTACACTCGCTGTCCACTCTTTGCATAGTTGGTTGACAAGAGCACGTCTGCTACCCGTCAAGAAAATAGAAGAGCAGATAACAAGTGTCTCTGGTCTGTGGCTCATACCCCCAAACTTGGTTACTCCAGCAAAGTGGTTTTGGGATTCGACTCATCAGGTTTTTGATTTGAGGAATTATTGGGGGAGGTAACGCTGAGAGTAGGTGAGTGAGGATGCATTTGGCAAGTGTTTAGTCATGATTTTATCTCAACTGCCCAACCTGAAATTTTTTTCAGTAAAGTCTGCCAAGTGTTCGGCATTTCAGTTCTATTACCAATGGGAATTGTTGCAACTGGAAGATAACGCCTATAAATTGCTCCTATCTGTTTAATTGTGTGTGGATTGATGACAGTGTTGACTAGAACTAGAAGAGGATTCTGCAGGCTAATCTTTTATATCTTAATATCATTTGACCTCACTTATTAAGCAAAGAGGATTATAAGCAGCTTTTCAGTATGCCTTGTTCTAATGGTTCAGTCTGAAAAAGTGTTACCAATAATAGACTAATGAAATGAACATAGGAAGCAAAGTTTAGTTACATTCTCGTTTAGTTAGGCTTCTTGGTCTTGGAAGTATCCCTGTATAAGCAATTACTTAGCGTCAGAATTCTATGTTTTTATCTTCCTATGTAAAAGACACTCTCAATTGAAAAATAAGCATTTTATCATAGGGCACTGTGCCAAGCTAAATTGGGAAATACACACATAAGATTATTTCCCTGCCTTTAAAGAGTTTCAAGCTTAGGTGTGCAGAGCAGAGAGGGAGCGCTGCTTTGCAAGAACAAGGAAGGAGTAAGAAGACATTCACCCTCTGCAGCCATTCTCAGGAGGCCTTTCTGGTAGGTGAGACTGAGAAGGCTGGGCTAGCAAGCCACTGCCATTTATCAGAGTTTTATGTGGATTTTCTTCGTACCAAATGAAGATCTCCGATATGTTTGGTTTGGCTCTGTGTCCCCACCCAAACCTCACATTGAATTGTAATCCCCATTGTTGGGGAGGGACCCAATAGGAGGTGATTGGATCATGGGGGTAGATTTCCCCCTTGTTGTTCTTGTGATGAGGAGTGAGTTCTCAGGAGAGTTAGTTGTTTAAAAGTGTGTAGCACTTACTCCTTTTCTCTCTCTCTCCTGCCACATGTGAAGATGTCCCTACTTCCCCTTTGCCTTCCACCATGATTGTAGGTTTCCTGAGGCCTCCCAGTCATGCTTCTTGTTAAGCCTGTGGAACTGTGAATTAATTCAACCTCTTTTTTAAATAAATAACCCAGTCTCAGGTAGTTCTTTATAGCAGTGTGAGAACAGACTAATACAATGTCTCTAGTCACCTACCTCAAAATTTTTCCTAAGCAAGACAGTTCTCACAAAAATCAGAAATGTCAGATGATTTTTAACACAAAAGCCTGGTACAAATGTTGGATTTCAGAAGTTGAAGCAGATTTGTGGATTGTTGCCATTTAAGCTTCTGCTGCTGTTTTAATAATCCCTAAGTTGATTTACTGGGGGACAAGGGGCTGGGGAAGGAAGGGCTGGGTCAAAACCACAATATGGAAGTCTTGCTTTAGCTTGAAACTGTCTTAGGAAATGTGCTTTGGTTCACTGCTAACTTTGAAAAGCAAACTGGTCCCTGCTTCCCCAAGTAGGAGTGTCTGAGTCTTTGTGTGTATTTTAGAGACAGAGGCTCACTCTATTGCCCAGGCTGGACTCAACTCCTGGTTTCAAGGGATCCTCCCACCTCAAGCCTCCCCAGGAGCTGGGACTACAAGTACACACAGCTATACCCAGCATTTTTTTTTTTTTTTTTTTTTTTTTTTTGGAGAACAGAGTCTCGCTCTGTCGCCCAGGCTAGAGCACAATGGTGTGATTTCAGCTCACTGCAACCTCTGCCTCCCAGGTTCAAGTGATCCTCCCACCTCAAGCCTCCCGCGTAGCTGGGACTACAGGCACGCACCACTGCCCAGCTAATTTTTGTATTTTTAGTAGAGATGGCGTTTTGCCATGTTGGCCAGGCTGGTCTTGAACTTCTGGCCTCAAGTGATCCACCTCCCAAAGTGCTGGGATTACAGGCATGAACCACTGTGCCCGGCCAATGCCCAGCTTTTTTTTTTTTTTTTTTTTTTTTTTGAGATGAAGCCTTGCTCTGTTGCCCAGGCTGGAGTGCAGTGGTGTGATCTTGGCTCACTGCAAGCTCCACCTCCCAGTTTCACGCCATTCTCCTGCCTCAGCCTCCTGAGTAGCTGGGACTACAGGCGCCTGCCACCACACCTGGCTAATTTTTTTTTTTTTTTTTTTTTTTTTGTATTTTTAGTAGAGACGGGGTTTCACTGTGTTAGCCAGGATGGTCTTGATCTCCTGACCTTGTGATCCGCCTGCCTTGGCCTCCCAAAGTGCTGGGATTACAGGCGTGAGCCACCGCACCCGGCCCTATGCCCAGCTTTTGAGAGTTAGTTTTTCATGGTAAATCACAAAGTATGTAATCCAATCTAGGACTCTTAAAAACAGTCCTGGGAGATGGGGTGGAATTGAACAGATTACTAAGTAAATTGAACCCAGAATAATATTCTCTATTACTCTAAGCTTCAAGCATTGTTCTGTAGACCTAGAGTCTGAAATTTTCTGGACTCAGTGAGGACACACTGATAAAGCTGAGAGGAAAAGATGTTTGTTTTTTAGAACATTATTAAACCTTTATTAAGCACCAAGTATGTGCTCAGGAATTTTGCTGGGGAATGAATGCACATTGAAAAGGTAAATAAAAAGTGGTTCTTAGAACAAAGATATATAATCACTGTGACAAAAAGCAAAATATATATAAAAGAGGTAGAACAGAAGAATCACGATGTCTATTGCTTACATGTCTTACATGTCTTATGTATATCATAAACATCATGTTCGAAACTGAGTTTTTTTCCTCCAAACTGTTCTTTTTTTTTTTTTCCTGAGACAGAATCTTGCTCTGTTGCCCAGCTGGAGTGCAGTGGCAGGATCTCGGCTCACTGCAACCTCTACCTCCCTGGTTCAAGGAATTCCCCTGCTTCAGCCTCCCAAGTAGCTGGAATTACAGTGCAAGCCACCACGCCTGGCTAATTTTTTTGTATTTTTTAGTAGGGACGGGGTTTCACCATGTTAGTCAGACTGGTCTCAAACTCCTGAGCTCAGGCAATCTGCCTGCCTCGGCCTCCCAGAGTGCTGAGATTACAGGTGTGAGCCACCACACCCGGCCCCTCCCAACTATTCTTAATAGCTCTATCCCCCACTCCAAACACTCTCCCAAAATCAATAACTGAGCACCACATTGTCTACCTTGATTCATTTCTTTCTCTCAAATACTCAAATCCAGTCCATACCTTCATCATGTATCTAAATCTCTCACCATCTTCAGTCTCTACTGTAGATACCTTAGTCAAGCCATCATACTTTTTAAAAAACTTTTTAAGAGGCAGAGTCTTGCTCGGTTGCCCGTGCTGGAGTATAGTGGCACATTTATAACTCACTGCATCCTAAAACTCATGGACTCAATTGATCCTCTCACCTCAGCCTCCCAAGTGGCTAGGACTATAGGGATGTGCCACTATGCCTAGCTAATTTTAAAACATTTTGTAGAGAGGGGGTTTTGCTAGGTTACCCAGGCTGGTCTTGAACTCCTAGCTTCAAGTGATCCTCCTGCGACAGCTTTCCAAAGTGCTGGGATTACAGGAATGAGCCACTGCACCCAGCTTTCCAGTCCTTTTTTTTTTTTTTTTTTGAGACGGAGTCTCGCTCTGTCCCCCAGGCTGGAGTGCAATGGTGTGATCTCAGCTCACTGCAACTTTGCCTCCCGGGTTCACGCCATTCTCCTACCTCAGCCTCCCGAGTAGCTGCGACTACAGGCGCCCGGCTAATTTTTTTTTTTTTTTGTATTTTTAGTAGAGACGGGGTTTCACCATGTTAGCCAGGATGGTCTCGATCTGACCTCATGATCCGCCCGCCTGAGCCTCCCAAGGTGCTGGGATTACAGGCGTGAGCCCCCACGCCCAGCCTCCAGTCCATTTTTTAAAAAGCAGTAAGTGTTGCTGTCCTACTTAAAGCCTTTCAGCAATTTCTCTACCATCCTTAAGAATGAGTCCAGGTGTCTTAGACTGACTGACAAAACTTTGTACTGGCTCCCACATACCTGTTCAAATTTTTTGTGCCACTCCTACTTAATTATTTCAGTCATTAGAAATTTTGTTTTGGTTTTTTATTCAGTTTGTACAGTTTACTAAGTTTCTCTTCTCTGTTAGGGCCTAGATACTAGCAAGCCCCTCTGCTGGAAATGCTCTTTACTAATTTTTCATGCAACTTTTCTGCTCATTCTTAGGTTCAAACGTAACTCCCCCAGAGGTGCTATTTCCTGCCTATTCCATGTAAAAAAGATGTCTTTCCTATGGTTCTCAGACTGTTTCCTCAACTTGTTGGTTTATTTGCTTGTTGCCTGGTTTCCTCACTAAATAAAAAGCTCCATGAAGACAGGAGCTCTTTCCCTTACTACAGTATTCTCAGAGCTTGGTATGGGCCAGCTCAATAGAACTCTCAACAAGTATGGCCAGAGTGAATAAAAGGATGATACCTGCTCATAATGTGATTCACCTTTTCCTTTCTATTAATGTTTCCTCATGTTTCATGTTTGAATATTAGAACCAGAAAGAAACCAAAAATCAGCTAATTTCCTTAGAAACCAGAAAGAAACCAGAAATAACTAATTTCCTTAATTTTTAGAGGCAAGCAAAGGGAAGTCAATATTACTCAACTGGTTCTTGGCAGAGGAGAGACTAGAATACAGTTACCCTGACTCTTCATTTTCACAATAAATCTCTCCTTGGACTGAACCACTGTGGCCCTGTCTCGCTTTGGTGGTTATCTTTTTTCCAGAGTGGAGAGTATTAAGAATTAACACATTCAGGATAATCTGAAAACAAGCTCTTACACTGAAGTAAAATTTCTCAAATCAGCTGAGGCCTTGTACCAAAACTCCAGCTTGTAAGCATTTTTGGAAATCTTGCTAGAGAGTGGTGCATTTTCCAATATTCAAAAACCAAACATAATCTTTACTCATTGACTCCAGCTTGTTCTTATGATGAACATTGATTATTGTTATATATATATATATATATATTTTTTTTTTTTTTTTTTTTTTTGAGACGGCGTCTCACTCTGTCGCCCAGGCTGGAGTGCAGTGGCGCGATCTCAGCTCACTGCAGCCTCCACCTCCTGGGCTCAAGCGATCCTCTCGCCTCAGCCCCCCAGTAACTGAGACTACAGGAATGTGCCATCATGCCCAGCTAATTTTTTTTTTTTTTTTTTTTGTATTTTTGGTGGGGATGGGGTTTCACCATGTTGCCCAGGCTGGTCTCAAACTCCTGAGCTCAAGCGATCTGCCCACCTCGGCCTCCGGCCTCCCAAAGTGCTGGGATTACAGGCACAAGTCACCATGCCTAACCCAGAACACTGATTATTATACTATCTGAAATACAGTCTTGTCCTCAAGAACCCATTGAAGGGATTCTTCCTGAGCTTTAACATGCTGGGCTTTTTCAACAGTAAGACATCTGAGGATCATTACCAGCTTAATGTGTGTGGGCTTTGTGACTGTTTTCCTTGATACCAAGAGGCTTCTTTTCATTTCGAGCCTCCTGTCTGTGTTTCTGGATGTTAGAAATTGCCAAAAATCTCTGACTAGGGTGAAGGGGTTGTTACTGAAATGTAATACCTCTTGAATGGTGACCAGCCCTGTTTCATGAACTCATTTAACACTTTTGGAAAAGATAGCAGTTCTCCACTTTTGTGCTCCAACTAGAACATGAGTCAAAGAAAGTTTTGTGATTTTTTTAAAATAAGCTTTATTTTTTAGAGCAGTTTTAGCTTCACAGCAAAACTGAGAGAAAACTACACAGATTTCTTATGTACCATCTGCCCTCACACATACATAACCTCCCCCATAACCAATATCCCCCACAAAGTGGTACATTTGTTATAATCAATGAACCTACAATGACACTGACCCAAAGTCCATAGTTTACATTTGGGTTCACTCTGGGTATACTACATTCTATGGGTTTGGACAAATGCATAATGATGTGTATCTACCACTGTGATGTCATACAGAGGAGCTGCGCTATATCTACCACTGTGATATACAGAGGAGCTTCACTATATCTACCACTGTGATATCATACAGAGGAGCTTCACTGTACCTACCACTGTGATATCACACAGAGGAGCTTCACTATA
The DNA here is from genome assembly GCF_000001405.40 of Homo sapiens. Lineage (NCBI taxonomy): Eukaryota > Metazoa > Chordata > Mammalia > Primates > Hominidae > Homo > Homo sapiens. The sequence continues at coordinate 195,506,915 of NC_000003.12, read as the reverse complement.
TCTACTAATGTGATATCATACAGAGGAGCTTCACTATATCTACAACTGTGATATCATACGGGGGAGCTTCACTATACCTCCCACTGTGATATCACACAGAGGAGCTTCACTATATCTACCACTGTGATATCACACAGAGGAGCGTCACTGTATCTACCACTGTGATATCAGACAGAGGAGCTTCACTATATCTGCCACTGTGAAATCACACAGAGGAGCTTCACTATATCTACTACTGTGATATCATACAGGGGAGCTTCACTATATCTACCACTGTGATATCACACAGAGTAGCTTCACTATACCTAGCACTGTGATATCATACAGAGGAGCTTCACCATATCTACCACTGTGATATCACACAGAGGAGCTTCGCTGTGTCTACCACTGTGATATCATACAGAGGAGCTTCACCATATCTACCACTGTGATATCACACAGAGGAGCTTCGCTGTGTCTACCACTGTGATATCATACAGAGGAGCTTCACTATATCTACCACTGTGATATCATACAGAGGAGCTTCAGTATATCTACCACTGTGATATCACACACAGGAGCTTCACTATATCTGCCACTGTGATATACAGGGGAGCTTCACTATATCTACCACTGTGATATACACAGCAGCTTCACTATATCTACCACTGTGATATCATACAGAGGAGCTTCACTATATCTACCACTGTGATATCATACAGGGGAGCTTCACTGTATCTACCACTGTGATATCATACAGAGGAGCTTCACTATATCTACCACTGTGATATCACACAGAGGAGCTTCACTGTATGTACCACTGTGATATCACACAGAGTAGCTTCACTATATCTACCACTGTGATATCACACAGAGCAGCTTCACTATATCTACCACTGTGATATCCTACAGGGGATCTTCACTATATCTACCACTGTGATGTCACACAGAGGATCTTCACTATATCTACCACTGTGGTATCATACAGGGGAGCTTCACGATATCTATCACTGTGATATCATATAGGGGAGCTTCACTATATCTACCACTGTGATATCATACAGAGCAGCTTCATTATATCTACCACTGTGATATCCTACAGGGGATCTTCACTATATCTACCACTGTGATGTCACACAGAGGATCTTCACTATATCTACCACTGTGGTATCATACACGGGAGCTTCACGATATCTATCACTGTGATATCATATAGGGGAGCTTCACTATATCTACCACTGTGATATCACACAGAGGAACTTCACTATATCTACCACTGTGATATCATACACGGGAGCTTCACTAAATCTACCACTGTGATATCACACAGAGGAACTTCACTATACGTACCACTGTGATATCATACATGGGAGCTTCACTATATCTACTACTGTGACATCACACAGAGGAGCTTCACTATATCTACGACTGTGATATCATGCAGAGGAGCTTCACTATATCTACCACTGTGATATCACACAGAGGAGCTTCACTGTATCTACCACTGTGATATCATACAGAGCAGCTTCACTATATCTACCACTGTGATATCATACAGGGGAGCTTCTCTATAACTACCACTGTGATATCATACAGAGCAGCTGCACTGTTGATATCATACAGAGCAGCTTCACTATATCTCCCACTGTTATACAGAGCAGCTTCACTATATCTACCACTGTGATATCACACAGAGCAGCTTCACTATATCTACCAGTGTGATATCACACAGAGGAGCTTCACTATATCTACCACTGTGATATCATATAGAGGAGCTTCACTGTATCTGCCACTGTGATATCATACAGAGCTGCTTCACTGTATCTACCACTGTGATATCATACAGAGGAGCTTCACTATATCCACCACTGTGCTATCATACAGAGGAGCTTCACTATATCCACCACTGTGATATCATACAGGGTAGCTTCACTATATCTACCACTGTGATATCATACAGAGGAGCTTCATTGTATCTACCACTGTGATATCACACAGAGGAGCTGTGCTATATCTACCACTGCGATATCATACAGAGCAGCTTCAGTGTATCTACCACTGTGATATCATACAGGGGATCTTCACTGTATCTACCAGTGTTATATCATACAGAGCAGCTTCACTATATCTACCACAGTGATATCACAGAGACGAGCTTCACTGTATCTACCACTGTGATATCACACAGAGGAGCTTCACAGTATCTACCACTGTGATATCATACAGAGCAGCTTCACTGTATCTACCAGTGTGATATCACACAGAGGAGCTTCACTATATCTATCACTGTGATATCATACAGAGCAGCTTCACTGTATCTACCAGTGTGATATCACACAGAGGAACTTCACTATATCTACCACTGTGATATCATACAGAGCAGCTTCACTGTATCTACCACTGTGATATCACACAGAGGAGCTTCACTATATCTACCACTGTGATATCATACAGAGGAGCTTCACTATATCTACCTCTGTGATATTATACAGGGCAGCTTCATTATATCTACCACTGTGATATCATACAGAGGAGCTTCACTATATCCACCACTGTGATATCATACAGGGGACCTTCACTATATCTACCACTGTGATATCACACAGAGGAGCTTCATTGTATCTACCACTGTGATATCACACAGAGGAGCTGTGCTATAGCTACCACTGTGATATCATACAGAGCAGCTTCAGTGTATCTACCACTGTGATATCATACAGGGGAGCTTCACTATATCTACCACTGTTATATCATACAGAGCAGCTTCACTATATCTACCACTGTGATATCACACTGACAAGCTTCACTGTATCTACCACTGTGATATCACACAGAGGAGCTTCACAATATCTACCACTGTGATATCATACAGAGCAGCTTCACTGTATCTACCACTGTGATATCACACAGAGGAGCTTCACTATATGTACCACTGTGATATCACACAGAGGAGCTTCACTGTATCTTACCACTGTGATATCACATAGAGGATCTTCGCTGTATCTACCACTGTGATATCATACAGAGCAGCTTCACTATATCTACCACTGTGATATCATACAGGGGAGCTTCTCTATAACTAAAACTGTGATGATATACAGAGCAGCTCCACTATTGATATCATACAGAGCAGCTTCACTATATCTACCACTGTGAGATCACACAGAGGAGCTTCACTATATCTATCACTGTGATATCATATAGAGGAGCTTCACTGTATGTACCACTGTGATATCATACAGAGCTGCTTCACTGTATCTACCACTGTGATATCATACAGAGGAGCTTCACTATATCCACCACTGTGATATCATACAGAGGAGCTTCACTATATCTACCACTGTGATATCACACAGGGTAGCTTCACTATATCTACCACTGTGATATCATACAGAGGAGCTTCATTGTATCTACCACTGTGATATCACACAGAGGAGCTGTGCTATATCTACCACTGCGATATCATACAGAGCAGCTTCAGTGTATCTACCACTGTGATATCATACAGGGGATCTTCACTGTATCTACCAGTGTTATATCATACAGAGCAGCTTCACTATATCTACCACTGTGATATCACACAGACGAGCTTCACTGTATCTACCACTGTGATATCACACAGAGGAGCTTCACAATATCTACCACTGTGATATCATACAGAGCAGCTTCACTGTATCTACCAGTGTGATATCACACAGAGGAGCTTCACTATATCTATCACTGCGATATCATACAGAGCAGCTTCACTGTATCTACCAGTGTGATATCACACAGAGGAACTTCACTATATCTACCACTGTGATATCATACAGAGCAGCTTCACTGTATCTACCACTGTGATATCACACAGAGGAGCTTCACTATATCTACCACTGTGATATCATACAGAGGAGCTTCACTATATCTACCTCTGTGATATTATACAGGGCAGCTTCATTATATGTACCACTGTGATATCATACAGAGGAGCTTCACTATATCCACCACTGTGATATCATACAGGGGACCTTCACTATATCTACCACTGTGATATCACACAGAGGAGCTTCATTGTATCTACCACTGTGATATCACACAGAGGCGCTGTGCTGTAGCTACCACTGTGATATCATACAGAGCAGCTTCAGTGTATCTACCACTGTGATATCATACAGGGGAGCTTCACTATATCTACCACTGTTATATCATACAGAGCAGCTTCACTATATCTACCACTGTGATATCACACTGACAAGCTTCACTGTATCTACCACTGTGATATCACACAGAGGAGCTTCACAATATCTACCACTGTGATATCATACAAAGCAGCTTCACTGTATCTACCACTGTGATATCACACAAAGGATCTTCACTATATCTACCACTGTGATATCATACAGAGCAGCTTCACTGTATCTACCACTGTGATATCATACAAAGCAGCTTCACTGTATCTACCACTGTGATATCACACAAAGGATCTTCACTATATCTACCACTGTGATATCATACAGAGGAGCTTCACTATATCTACCACTGTGATATCATACAGAGGAGCTTCACTATTTCTACCACTGTGATATCACACAGAGGAGCTTCACTGTATGTACCACTGTGATATCACACAGAGCAGCTTCACTATATCTACCACTGTGATATCCTACAGGGGATCTTCACTATATCTACCACTGTGATGTCACACAGAGGATCTTCACTATATCTACCACTGTGGTATCATACAGGGGAGCTTCACGATATCTATCACTGTGATATCATATGGGGAACTTCACTATGTCTACCACTGTGATATCACACAGAGGAAATTCACTATATCTACCACTGTGATATCATACAGGGGAGCTTCACTAAGTCTACCACGGTGATATCACACAGAAGAACTTCACTATACGTACCACTGTGATATCATACATGGGAGCTTCACTATATCTACTACTGTGACATCACACAGAGGAGCTTCACTATATCTACGACTGTGATATCATACAGAGGAGCTTCACTTTATCTACCACTGTGATATACAGCGGAGCTTTACTACATGTACCACTGTGATATCATACAGAGCAGCTCCACTATATCTACCACTGTGATACCACACAGAGCAGCTTCACTGTATCTACCACTGTGATATCATACAGGGCTGCTTCACTGTATCTACCACTGTGATATCATACAGAGGAGCTTCACTATATCCACCACTGTGATATCATACAGAGGAGCTTCACTATATCTACCACTTTGATATCACACAGAGCAGCTTCACTATATCGACCACTGTGATATCATACAGTGGAGCTTCACTATATCCACCACTGTGATATCATACAGGGGACCTTCACTATATCTACCACTGTGATATCACACAGAGGAGCTTCATTGTATCTACCACTGTGATATCACACAGAGGAGCTGTGCTATAGCTACCACTGTGATATCATACAGAGCAGCTTCAGTGTATCTACCACTGTGATATCATACAGAGGAGCTTCACTATATGTACCACTGTGATATCACACAGAGGAGCTTCACTGTATCTACCACTGTGATATCACACAGAGGAGCTTCACTATATCTACCACTGTGATATCATACAGCGGAGCTTCACTATATCTACCACTGTGGTATCATATATAGGAGCTTCACTATATCTACCACTGTGATATCACACAGAGGAGCTTCACTGTATCTACCACTGTGATATCATACAGAGCAGCTTCAATATATCTACCACTGTGATATCATACAGGGGAGCTTCTCTATAACTACCACTGTAATATCATACAGAGCAGCTGCACTGTTGATATCATACAGAGCAGCTTCACTATGTCTCCCACTGTTATATCATACAGAGCAGCTTCACTATATCTACCACTGTGATATCACACAGAGCAGCTTCACTATATCTACCAGTGTGATATCACACAGAGGAGCTTCACTATATCTACCACTGTGATATCATATAGAGGAGCTTCACTGTATCTACCACTGTGATATCATACAGAGCTGCTTCACTGTATCTACCACTGTGATATCATACAGAGGAGCTTCACTATATCCACCACTGTGATATCATACAGAGGAGCTTCACTATATCCACCACTGTGATATCATACAGAGGAGCTTCACTATATCCACCACTGTGATATCATACAGAGGAGCTTCACTATATCTACCACTGTGATATCACACAGGGTAGCTTCACTATATCTACCACTGTGATATCATACAGAGGAGCTTCATTGTATCTACCACTGTGATATCACACAGAGGAGCTGTGCTATATCTACCACTGCGATATCATACAGAGCAGCTTCAGTGTATCTACCACTGTGATATCATACAGGGGATCTTCACTGTATCTACCAGTGTTATATCATACAGAGCAGCTTCACTGTATCTACCAGTGTGATATCACACAGAGGAGCTTCACTATATCTATCACTGCAATATCATACAGAGCAGCTTCACTGTATCTACCAGTGTGATATCACACAGAGGAACTTCACTATATCTACCACTGTGATATCATACAGAGCAGCTTCACTGTACCTACCACTGTGATATCACACAGAGGAGCTTCACTATATCTACCACTGTGATATCATACAGAGGAGCTTCACTATATCTACCTCTGTGATATTATACAGGGCAGCTTCATTATATGTACCACTGTGATATCATACAGAGGAGCTTCACGATATCCACCACTGTGATATCATACAGGGGACCTTCACTATATCTACCACTGTGATATCACACAGAGGAGCTTCATTGTATCTACCACCGTGTTATCACACAGAGGCGCTGTGTTGTAGCTACCACTGTGATATCATACAGAGCAGCTTCAGTGTATCTACCTCTGTGATATCATACAGGGGAGCTTCACTATATCTACCACTGTTATATCATACAGAGCAGCTTCACTATATCTACCACTGTGATATCACACTGACAAGCTTCACTGTATCTACCACTGTGATATCACACAGAGGAGCTTCACAATATCTACCACTGTGATATCATACAGAGCAGCTTCACTGTATCTACCACTGTGATATCACACAAAGGATCTTCACTATATCTACCACTGTGATATCATACAGAGCAGCTTCACTGTATCTACCACTGTGATATCACACAGAGGAGCTTCACTATATCTACCACTGTGATATCATACAGAGGAGCTTCACTATTTCTACCACTGTGATATCACACAGAGGAGCTTCACTGTATGTACCACTGTGATATCACACAGAGCAGCTTCACTATATCTACCACTGTGATATCCTACAGGGGATCTTCACTATATCTACCACTGTGCTGTCACACAGAGGATCTTCACTATATCTACCACTGTGGTATCATACAGGGGAGCTTCACGATATCTATCACTGTGATATCATATGGGGAACTTCACTATATCTACCACTGTGATATCACACAGAGGAAATTCACTATATCTACCACTGTGATATCATACAGGGGAGCTTCACTAAATCTACCACGGTGATATCACACAGAAGAACTTCACTATACGTACCACTGTGATATCATACATGGGAGCTTCACTATATCTACTACTGTGACATCACACAGAGGAGCTTCACTATATCTACGACTGTGATATCATACAGAGGAGCTTCACTTTATCTACCACTGTGATATACAGCGGAGCTTTACTACATGTACCACTGTGATATCATACAGAGCAGCTCCACTATATCTACCTCTGTGATATCACACAGAGCAGCTTCACTGTATCTACCACTGTGATATCATACAGGGCTGCTTCACTGTATCTACCACTGTGATATCATACAGAGGCGCTTCACTATATCCACCACTGTGATATCATACAGAGGAGCTTCACTATATCCACCACTGTGATATCATACAGAGGAGCTTCACTATATCTACCACTGTGATATCACACAGAGCAGCTTCACTATATCGACCACTGTGATATCATACAGTGGAGCTTCACTATATCCACCACTGTGATATCATACAGGGTACCTTCACTATATCTACCACTGTGATATCACACAGAGGAGCTTCATTGTATCTACCACTGTGATATCACACAGAGGAGCTGTGCTATAGCTACCACTGTGATATCATACAGAGCAGCTTCAGTGTATCTACCACTGTGATATCATACAGAGGAGCTTCACTATATGTACCACTGTGATATCACACAGAGGAGCTTCACTGTATCTACCACTGTGATATCACACAGAGGAGCTTCACTATATCTACCACTGTGATATCATACAGAGGAGCTTCACTATATCTACCACTGTGGTATCAAATATAGGAGCTTCACTATATCTACCACTGTGATATCACACAGAGGAGCTTCACTTTATCTACCACTGTGATATCACACAGAGGAGCTTCACTGTATCTACCACTGTGATATCATACAGAGCAGCTTCACTATATCTACCGCTGTAATATCATACAGGGGAGCTTCTCTATAACTACCACTGTGATATCATACAGAGCAGCTGCACTGTTGATATCACACAGAGCATCTTCACTATATCTCCCACTGTTATATCATACAGAGCAGCTTCACTATATCTACCACTGTGATATCACACAGAGCAGCTTCACTATATCTACCAGTGTGATATCACACAGAGGAGCTTCACTATATCTACCACTGTGATATCATATAGAGGAGCTTCACTGTATCTACCACTGTGATATCGTACAGAGCTGCTTCACTGTATCTACCACTGTGATATCATACAGAGGAGCTTCACTATATCCACCACTGTGATATCATACAGAGGAGCTTCACTATATCCACCACTGTGATATCATACAGAGGAGCTTCACTATATCCACCACTGTGATATCATACAGAGGAGCTTCACTATATCTACCACTGTGATATCATACAGAGGAGCTTCATTGTATCTACCACTGTGATATCACACAGAGGAGCTGTGCTATATCTTCCACTGCGATATCATACAGAGCAGCTTCAGTGTATCTACCACTGTGATATCATACAGGGGATCTTCACTGTATCTACCAGTGTTATATCATACAGAGCAGCTTCACTATATCTACCACTGTGATATCACACAGACGAGCTTCACTGTATCTACCACTGTGATATCACACAGAGGAGCTTCACAATATCTACCACTGTGATATCATACAGAGCAGCTTCACTGTATCTACCAGTGTGATATCACACAGAGGAGCTTCACTATATCTATCACTGCGATATCATACAGAGCAGCTTCACTGTATCTACCAGTGTGATATCACACAGAGGAACTTCACTATATCTACCACTGTGATATCATACAGAGGAGCTTCACTATATGTACCACTGTGATATCACACAGAGGAGCTTCACTGTATCTACCACTGTGATTTCATACAGAGCTGCTTCACTGTATCTACCACTGTGATATCATACAGAGGAGCTTCACTATATCCACCACTGTGATATCATACAGGGGAGCTTCTCTATAACTACCACTATGATGATATACAGAGCAGCTCCACTATTGATATCATACAGAGCAGCTTCACTATATCTACCACTGTGATATCACACAGAGGAGCTTCACTATATCTACCACTGTGATATCATATAGAGGAGCTTCACTGTATCTACCACTGTGATATCATACAGAGCTGCTTCACTGTATCTACCACTGTGATATCATACAGAGGAGCTTCACTATATGCACCACTGTGATATCATAGAGGAGCTTCACTATATCCACCACTGTGATATCATACCGAGGAACTTCACTATATCCACCACTGTGATATCATACAGGGGAGCTTCACGATATCTACCACTGTGATATCATACACGGCAGCTTCACTATATCTACCACTGTGATATCATACAGAGGAGCTTCATTGTATCTACCACTGTGATATCACACAGAGGAGCTGTGCTATATCTACCACTGCGATATCATACAGAGCAGCTTCAGTGTATGTACCACTGTGATATCATACAGGGGATCTTCACTGTATCTAGCACTGTTATATCATACAGAGCAGCTTCACTATATCTACCACTGTGATATCACACAGACGAGTTTCACTGTATCTAACACTGTGATTTCACACAGAGGAACTTCACAATATCTACCACTGTGATATCATACAGAGCAGCTTCACTGTATCTACCAGTGTGATATCACACAGAGGAGCTTCACTATATCTACCACTGTGATATCATACAGAGCAGCTTCACTGTATCTACCAGTGTGATATTACACAGAGGAACTTCACTATATCTACCACTGTGATATCATACAGAGCAGCTTCACTGTATCTACCACTGTGATATCACACAGAGGAGCTTCACTATATCTACCTCTGTGATATCATACAGAGGAGCTTCACTATTTCTACCACTGTGATATCACACAGAGGAGCTTCACTGTATGTACCACTGTGATATCACACAGAGCAGCTTCACTATATCTACCACTGTGATATCCTACAGGGGATCTTCACTATATCTACCACTGTGATGTCACACAGAGGATCTTCACTATATCTACCACTGTGGTATCATACAGGGGAGCTTCACGATATCTATCACTGTGGTATCATATGGGGAACTTCATTATATCTACCACTGTGATATCACACAGAGGAACTTCACTATATCTACCACTGTGATATCATACAGGGGAGCTTCACTAAATCTACCACTGTGATATCACACAGAAGAACTTCACTATACGTACCACTGTGATATCGTACATGGGAGCTTCACTATATCTACTACTGTGACATCACACAGAGGAGCTTCACTATATCTACGACTGTGATATCATACAGAGGAGCTTCACTTTATCTACCACTGTGATATACAGCGGAGCGTTACTATATGTACCACTGTGATATCATACAGAGCAGCTCCACTATATCTACCACTGTGATATCACACAGAGCAGCTTCACTGTATCTACCAGTGTGATATCATACAGGGCTGCTTCACTGTATCTACCACTGTGATATCATACAGAGGCGCTTCACTATATCCACCACTGTGATATCATACAGAGGAGCTTCACTATATCCACCACTGTGATATCATACAGAGGAGCTTCACTATATCTACCACTGTGATATCACACAGAGCAGCTTCACTATATCGACCACTGTGATATCATACAGTGGAGCTTCACTATATCTACCACTGTGATATCATACAGGGGACCTTCACTGTATCTACCACTGTGATATCACACAGAGGAGCTTCATTGTATCTACCACTGTGATATCACACAGAGGAGCTGTGCTACAGCTACCACTGTGATATCATACAGAGCAGCTTCAGTGTATCTACCACTGTGATATTATACAGAGGATCTTCACTATATGTACCACTGTGATATCACACAGAGGAGCTTCACTGTATCTACCACTGTGATATCATACAGAGGAGCTTCACTATATCCACCACTGTGATGTCATACAGAGGAGCTTCACTATATCCACCACTGTGATATCATGCAGAGGAGCTTCACTATATCCACCACTGTGATGTCATACAGAGGAGCTTCACTATATCCACCACTGTGATATCATACAGAGGAGCTTCACTATATCCACCACTGTGATATCATACAGAGGAGCTTCACTATATCTACCACTGTGATATCATACAGGGTAGCTTCACTATATCTACCACTGTGATATCATACAGAGGAGCTTCATTGTATCTACCACTGTGATATCACACAGAGGAGCTGTGCTATATCTACCACTGCGATATCATAAAGAGCAGCTTCAGTGTATCTACCACTGTGATATCATACAGGGGATCTTCACTGTATCTACCAGTGTTATATACAGAGCAGCTTCACTATATCTACCACTGTGATATCACACAGACGAGCTTCACTGTATCTACCACTGTGATAACACACAGAGGAGCTTCACAATATCTACCACTGTGATATCATACAGAGCAGCTTCACTGTATCTACCAGTGTGATATCACACAGAGGAGCTTCACTATATCTATCACTGTGATGTCATACAGAGCAGCTTCACTGTATCTACCAGTGTGATATCACACAGAGGAACTTCACTATATCCACCACTGTGATATCATACAGAGCAGCTTCACTATATCTACCTCTGTGATATTATACAGGGCAGCTTCATTATATCTACCACTGTGATATCATACAGGGGAGCTTCAGTATATCTACCACTGTGATGTCATACAGAGCAGCTGCACTATTGATATCATACAGAGCATCTTCACTGTATCTACCACTGTGATATCACACAGAGGAGCTTCACTGTATCTGCCACTGTGATATCGCACAGAGGAGCTTCACTGTATCTACCACTGTGATATCATACAGAGGAGCTTCACTATATCTACCACTGTGATATCATAGAGAGCTGCTTCACTATATCTAACACTGTGATATCATACAGAGGAGCTTCACTGTATCTGTCACTGTGATATCATACAGAGGAGCTTCAGTGTATCTGCCACTGTGATATCATACAGAGCTGCTTCACTGTATCTACCACTGTGATATCACACAGAGGAGCTTCACTGTATCTGCCACTGTGATATCGCACAGAGGAGCTTCACTGTATCTACCACTGTGATATCATACAGAGGAGCTTCACTATATCTACCACTGTGATATCATACAGAGCTGCTTCACTATATCTACCACTGTGATAACATACAGAGGAGCTTCACTGTATCTGCCACTGTGATATCATACAGAGGAGCTTCACTGTATCTGCCACTGTGATATCATACAGAGCTGCTTCACTGTATATACCACTGTGATATCACACAGAGGAGCTTCACTGTATCTGCCACTGTGATATCGCACAGAGGAGCTTCACTGTATCTACCACTGTGATATCATACAGAGGAGCTTCACTATATCTACCACTGTGATATCATACAGAGCTGCTTCACTATATCTAACACTGTGATATCATACAGAGGAGCTTCACTGTATCTGCCACTGTGATATCATACAGAGGAGCTTCACTGTATCTGCCACTGTGATATCATACAGAGCTGCTTCACTGTATCTACCACTGTGATATCGCACAGAGGAGCTTCACTATATCTACCACTGTGATATCATACAGAGGAGCTTCACTATATCTACCACTGTGATATCATACAGAGGAGCTTCACTGTATCTGCTACTGTGATATCACACTGAGGAGCTTCACTATATCTACCACTGTGATATCGCACAGAGGAGCTTCACTGTATCTACCAATGTGATATCGCACAGAGGAGCTGTGCTATAGCTACCATTGTGATATCATACAGAGCAGCTTCAGTGTATCTACCACTGTGATATCATACAGGGGAGCTTCACTATATCTACCACTGTTATATCTTAGAGAGCAGCTTCACTATATCTACCACTGTGATATCACGCTGACAAGCTTCACTGTATCTACCACTGTGAAATCACACAGAGGAGCTTCACAATATCTACCACTGTGATATCATACAGAGCAGCTTCACTGTATCTACCACTGTGATATCACACAGAGGAGCTTCACTATAGGTACCACTGTGATATCACACAGAGGAGCTTCACTGTATCTTACCACTGTGATATCACACAGAGGAGCTTCACTGTATCTACCACTGTGATATCATACAGGGGAGCTTCTCTATAACTACCACTGTGATGATATACAGAGCAGCTCCACTATTGATATCATACAGAGCAGCTTCACTATATCTACCACTGTGAGACCACACAGAGGAGCTTCACTATATCTACCACTGTGATATCATATAGAGGAGCTTCACTGTATCTACCACTGTGATATCATACAGAGCTGCTTCACTGTATCTAACACTGTGATATCATACAGAGGAGCTTCACTATATCCACCACTGTGATATCATAGAGGAGCTTCACTATATCCACCACTGTGATATCATACAGAGGAGCTTCACTATATCCACCACTGTGATATCATACAGGGGAGCTTCACGATATCTACCGCTGTGATATCATACAGGGCAGCTTCACTATATCTACCACTGTGATATCATACAGAGGAGCTTCATTGTATCTACCACTGTGATATCACACAGAGGAGCTGTGCTATATCTACCACTGCGATATCATACAGAGCAGCTTCAGTGTATCTACCACTGTGATATCATACAGGGGATCTTCACTGTATCTACCACTGTTATAACATACAGAGCAGCTTCACTATATCTACCACTGTGATATCACACAGACGAGCTTCACTGTATCTACCACTGTGATTTCACACAGAGGAACTTCACAATACCTACCACTGTGATATCATACAGAGCAGCTTCACTGTATCTACCAGTGTGATATCACACAGAGGAGCTTCACTATATCTACCACTGTGATATCATACAGAGCAGCTTCACTGTATCTACCAGTGTGATATTACACAGAGGAACTTCACTATATCTACCACTGTGATATCATACAGAGCAGCTTCACTGTATCTACCACTGTGATATCACACAGAGGAGCTTCACTATATCTACCACTGTGATATCATACAGAGGAGCTTCACTATTTCTACCACTGTGATATCACACAGAGGAGCTTCGCTGTATGTACCACTGTGATATCACACAGAGCAGCTTCTCTATATCTACCACTGTGATATCCTACAGGGGATCTTCACTATATCTACCACTGTGATGTCACACAGAGGATCTTCACTATATCTACCACTGTGGTATCATACAGGGGAGCTTCACGATATCTATCACTGTGATATCATATGGGGAACTTCACTATATCTACCACTGTGATATCACACAGAGGAACTTCACTATATCTACCACTGTGATATCGTACAGGGGAGCTTCACTAAATCTACCACTGTGATATCACACAGAAGAACTTCACTATACGTACCACTGTGATATCAAACATGGGAGCTTCACTATATCTACTACTGTGACATCACACAGAGGAGCTTCACTCTATCTACGACTGCGATATCATACAGAGGAGCTTCACTTTATCTACCACTGTGATATACAGCGGAGCTTTAGTACATGTACCACTGTGACATAATACAGAGCAGCTCCACTATATCTACCACTGTGATATCACACAGAGCAGCTTCACTGTATCTACCACTGTGATATCATACAGGGCTGCTTCACTGTATCTACCACTGTGATATCATACAGAGGCGCTTCACTATATCCACCACTGTGATATCATACAGAGGAGCTTCACTATATCCACCACTGTGATATCATACAGAGGAGCTTCACTATATCTACCACTGTGATATCACACAGAGCAGCTTCACTATATCGACCACTGTGATATCATACAGTGGAGCTTCACTATATCCACCACTGTGATATCATACAGGGTACCTTCACTATATCTACCACTGTGATATCACACAGAGGAGCTTCATTGTATCTACCACTGTGATATCACACAGAGGAGCTGTGCTATAGCTACTACTGTGATATCATACAGAGCAGCTTCAGTGTATCTACCACTGTGATAACATACAGAGGAGCTTCACTATATGTACCACTGTGATATCACACAGAGGAGCTTCACTGTATCTACCACTGTGATATCACACAGAGGAGCTTCACTATATCTACCACTGTGATATCATACACAGGAGCTTCACTATATCTACCACTGTGGTATCATATATAGGAGCTTCACTATATCTACCACTGTGATATCACACAGAGGAGCTTCACTATATCTACCACTGTGATATCACACAGAGGAGCTTCACTGTATCTACCACTGTGATATCATACAGAGCAGCTTCACTATATCTACCACTGTGATATCATACAGGGGAGCTTCTCTATAACTACCATTGTGATATCATACAGAGCAGCTGCACTGTTGATATCATACAGAGCAGCTTCACTATATCTCCCACTGTTATATCATACAGAGAAGCTTCACTATATCTACCACTGTGATATCACACAGAGCAGCTTCACTATATCTACCAGTGTGATATCACACAGAGGAGCTTCACTATATCTACCACTGTGATATCATATAGAGGAGCTTCACTGTATCTACCACTGTGATATCATACAGAGCTGCTTCACTGTATCTAACACTGTGATATCATACAGAGGAGCTTCACTATATCCACCACTGTGATATCATACAGAGGAGCTTCACTATATCCACCACTGTGATATCATACAGAGGAGCTTCACTATATCTACCACTGTGATATCATACAGAGGAGCTTCACTATATCTACCACTGTGATATCATACAGGGTAGCTTCACTATATCTACCACTGTGATATCATACAGAGGAGCTTCATTGTATCTACCACTGTGATATCACACAGAGGAGCTGTGCTATATCTCCCACTGCGATATCATACAGAGCAGCTTCAGTGTATCTACCACTGTGATATCATACAGGGGATCTTCACTGTATCTACCAGTGTTATATCATACAGAGCAGCTTCATTGTATCTACCACTGTGATATCACACAGACGAGCTTCACTGTATCTACCACTGTGATATCACACAGAGGAGCTTCACAATATCTACCACTGTGATATCATACAGAGCAGCTTCACTGTATCTACCAGTGTGATATCACACACAGGAGCTTCACTATATCTATCACTGTGATATCATACAGAGCAGCTTCACTATATCTACCACTGTGATATCACACAGAGGAGCTTTACTATATCTACCACTGTGATATCATACAGAGGAGCTTCACTATATCTACCTCTGTGATATTATACAGGGCAGCTTCATTATATCTACCACTGTGATATCATACAGAGGAGCTTCACTATATCCACCACTGTGATATCATACAGGGGACCTTCACTATATCTACCACTGTGATATCACACAGAGGAGCTTCATTGTATCTACCACTGTGATATCACACAGAGGAGCTGTGCTATAGCTACCACTGTGATATCATACAGAGCAGCTTCAGTGTATCTACCACTGTGATATCATACAGGGGAGCTTCACTATATCTACCACTGTTATATCATACAGAGCAGCTTCACTATATCTACCACTGTGATATCACACTGACAACCTTCACTGTAACTACCATTGTGATATCACACAGAGGAGCTTCACAATATCTTCCACTGTGATATCATACAGAGCAGCTTCACTGTATCTACCACTGTGATATCACACAGAGGAGCTTCACTATATGTACCACTGTGATATCACACAGAGGAGCTTCACTGTATCTTACCACTGTGATATCACACAGAGGAGCTTCGCTGTATCTACCACTGTGATATCATACAGAGCAGCTTCACTATATCTACCACTGTGATATCATACAGGGGAGCTTCTCTATAACTACCACTGTGATGATATACAGAGCAGCTCCACTATAGATATCATACAGAGCAGCTTCACTATATCTACCACTGTGATATCACACAGAGGAGCTTCACTATATCTACCACTGTGATATCATATAGAGGAGCTTCACTGTATCTACCACTGTGATATCATACAGAGCTGCTTCACTGTATCTACCACTGTGATATCATACAGAGGAGCTTCACTATATCCACCACTGTGATATCATAGAGGAGCTTCACTGTATCCACCACTGTGATATCATACAGAGGAGCTTCACTATATCCACCACTGTGATATCATACAGGGGAGCTTCACGATATCTACCACTGTGATATCATACAGGGCAGCTTCACTATATCTACCACTGTGATATCATACAGAGGAGCTTCATTGTATCTACCACTGTGATATCACACAGAGGAGCTGTGCTATATCTACCACTGCGATATCATACAGAGCAGCTTCAATGTATCTACCACTGTGATATCATACAGGGGATCTTCACTGTATCTACCACTGTTATATCATACAGAGCGGCTTCACTGTATCTACCACTGTGATATCACACAGACGAGCTTCACTCTATCTACCACTGTGATTTCACACAGCGGAACTTCACAATATCTACCACTGTGATATCATACAGAGCAGCTTCACTGTATCTACCAGTGTGATATCACACAGAGGAGCTTCACTATATCTACCACTGTGATATCATACAGAGCAGCTTCACTGTAGCTACCAGTGTGATATTACACAGAGGAACTTCACTATATCTACCACTGTGATATCATACAGAGCAGCTTCACTGTATCTACCACTGTGATATCACACAGAGGAGCTTCACTACAGCTACCACTGTGATATCATACAGAGGAGCTTCACTATTTCTACCACTGTGATATCACACAGAGGAGCTTCACTGTATGTACCACTGTGATATCACACAGAGCAGCTTCACTATATCTACCACTGTGATATCCTACAGGGGATCTTCACTATATCTACCACTGTGATGTCACACAGAGGATCTTCACTATATCTACCACTGTGGAATCATACAGGGGAGCTTTACTAAATCTACCACTGTGATATCACACAGAGGAACTTCACTATACGTACCACTGTGATATCATACATGGGAGCTTCACTATATCTACTACTGTGACATCACACAGAGGAGCTTCACTATATCTACGACTGTGATATCATACAGAGGAGTTTCACTTTATCTACCACTGTGATATACAGCGGAGCTTTACTATATGTACCACTGTGATATCATACAGAGCAGCTCCACTATATCTACCACTGTGATATCACACAGAGCAGCTTCACTGTATCTACCACTGTGATATCATACAGAGGAGCTTCACTATATGTACCACTGTGATATCACACAGAGGAGCTTCACTGTATGTACCACTGTGATATCACACAGAGGAGCTTCACTATATCTACCACTGTGATATCATACAGAGGAGATTCACTATATCTACCACTGTGGTATCATATATAGGAGCTTCACTATATCTACCACTGTGATATCACACAGAGGAGCTTCACTATATCTACCACTGTGATATCACACAGAGGAGCTTCACTGTATCTACCACTGTGATATCATACAGAGCAGCTTCACTATGTCTACCACTGTGATATCATACAGGGTAGCTTCTCTATAACTACCACTGTGATATCATACAGAGCAGCTGCACTGTTGATATCATACAGAGCAGCTTCACTATATCTCCCACTGTTATATCATACAGAGCAGCTTCACTATATCTACCACTGTGATATCACACAGAGCAGCTTCACTATATCTACCAGTGTGATATCACACAGAGGAGCTTCACTATATCTACCACTGTGATATCATATAGAGGAGCTTCACTGTATCTACCACTGTGATATCATACAGAGCTGCTTCACTGTATCTACCACTGTGATATCATACAGAGGAGCTTCACTATATCCACCACTGTGATATCATACAGAGGAGCTTCACTATATCCACCACTGTGCTATCATACAGAGGAGCTTCACTATATCCACCACTGTGATATCATACAGAGGACCTTCACTATATCTACCACTGTGATATCATACAGGGTAGCTTCACTATATCTACCACTGTGATATCATACAGAGGAGCTTCATTGTATCTACCACTGTGATATCACACAGAGGAGCTGTGCTATATCTACCACTGCGATATCATACAGAGCAGCTTCAGTGTATCTACCACTGTGATATCATACAGGGGATCTTCACTGTATCTACCAGTGTTATATCATACAGAGCAGCTTCACTATATCTACCACTGTGATATCACACAGACGAGCTTCACTGTATCTACCACTGTGATATCACACAGAGGAGCTTCACAATATCTACCACTGTGATATCATACAGAGCAGTTTCACTGTATCTACCAGTGTGATATCACACAGAGGAGCTTCACTATATCTATCACTGCGATATCATACAGAGCAGCTTCACTGTATCTACCAGTGTGATATCACACAGAGGAACTTCACTATATCTACCACTGTGATATCATACAGAGCAGCTTCACTGTATCTACCACTGTGATATCACACAGAGGAGCTTCACTTTATCTACCACTGTGATATCATACAGAGGAGCTTCACTATATCTACCTCTGTGATATTATACAGGGAAACTTCATTATATCTAGCACTGTGATATCATACAGAGGAGCTTCACTATATCCACCACTGTGATATCATACAGGGGACCTTCACTATATCTACCACTGTGATATCACACAGAGGAGCTTCATTGTATCTACCACTGTGATATCACACAGAGGAGCTGTGCTATAGCTACCACTGTGATATCATACAGAGCAGCTTCAGTGTATCTACCAGTGTGATATCATACAGGGGAGCTTCGCTATATCTACCACTGTTATATCATACAGAGCAGCTTCACTATATCTACCACTGTGATATCACACTGACAAGCTTCACTGTATCTACCACTGTGATATCACACAGAGGAGCTTCACAATATCTACCACTGTGATATCATACAGAGCAGCTTCACTGTATCTACCACTGTGATATCACACAGAGGAGCTTCACTATATGTACCACTGTGATATCACACAGAGGAGCTTCACTGTATCTTACCACTGTGGTATCACACAGAGGAACTTCGCTGTATCTACCACTGTGATATCATACAGAGCAGCTTCACTATATCTACCACTGTGATATCATACAGGGGAGCTTCTCTATAACTACCACTGTGATGATATACAGAGCAGCTCCACTATTGATATCATACAGAGCAGCTTCACTATATCTACCACTGTGAGATCACACAGAGGAGCTTCACTATATCTACCACTGTGATATCATATAGAGGAGCTTCACTGTATCTACCACTGTGATATCATACAGAGCTGCTTCACTGTATCTACCACTGTGATATCATACAGAGGAGCTTCACTATATCCACCACTGTGATATCATACAGGGGAGCTTCTCTATAACTACCACTGTGATGATATACAGAGCAGCTCCACTATAGATATCATACAGAGCAGCTTCTCTATATCTACCACTGTGATATCACACAGAGGAGCTTCACTATATCTACCACTGTGATATCATATAGAGGAGCTTCACTGTATCTACCACTGTGATATCATACAGAGCTGCTTCACTGTATCTACCACTGTGATATCATACAGAGGAGCTTCACTATATCCACCACTGTGATATCACAGAGGAGCTTCACTATATCCACCACTGTGATATCATACAGAGGAGCTTCACTATATCCACCACTGTGATATCATACAGGGGAGCTTCACGATATCTACCACTGTGATATCATACAGAGGAGCTTCATTGTATCTACCACTGTGATATCACACAGAGGAGCTGTGCTATATCTACCACTGCGATATCATACAGAGCAGCTTCAGTGTATCTACCACTGTGATATCATACAGGGGATCTTCACTGTATCTACCACTGTTATATCATACAGAGCAGCTTCACTATATCTACCAGTGTGATATCACACAGACGAGCTTCACTCTATCTACCACTGTGATTTCACACAGCGGAACTTCACAATATCTACCACTGTGATATCATACAGAGCAGCTACACTGTATCTACCAGTGTGATATCACACAGAGGAGCTTCACTATATCTACCACTGTGATATCACACAGACGAGCTTCACTGTATCTTCCACTGTGATATCACACAGAGGAGCTTCACAATATCTACCACTGTGATATCATACAGAGCAGTTTCACTGTATCTACCAGTGTGATATCACACAGAGGAGCTTCACTATATCTATCACTGCGATATCATACAGAGCAGCTTCACTGTATCTACCAGTGTGATATCACACAGAGGAACTTCACTATATCTACCACTGTGATATCATACAGAGCAGCTTCACTGTATCTACCACTGTGATATCACACAGAGGAGCTTCACTATATCTACCACTGTGATATCATACAGAGGAGCTTCACTATATCTACCTTTGTGATATTATACAGGGAAGCTTCATTATATCTACCACTGTGATATCATACAGAGGAGCTTCACTATATCCACCACTGTGATATCATACAGGGGACCTTCACTATATCTACCACTGTGATATCACACAGAGGAGCTTCATTGTATCTACCACTGTGATATCACACAGAGGAGCTGTGCTATAGCTACCACTGTGATATCATACAGAGCAGCTTCAGTGTATCTACCACTGTGATATCATACAGGGGAGCTTCACTATATCTACCACTGTTATATCATACAGAGCAGCTTCACTATATCTACCACTGTGATATCACACTGACAAGCTTCACTGTATCTACCACTGTGATATCACAGAGAGGAGCTTCACAATATCTACCACTGTGATATCATACAGAGCAGCTTCACTGTATCTACCACTGTGATATCACACAGAGGAGCTTCACTATATCTACCACTGTGATATCATACAGAGCAGCTTCACTGTATCTACCACTCTGATATCACACAGAGGAGCTTCACTATATCTACCACTGTGATATCATACAGAGGAGCTTCACTATTTCTACCACTGTGATATCACACAGAGGAGCTTCACTGTATGTACCACTGTGATATCACACAGAGCAGCTTCACTATATCTACCACTGTGATATCCTACAGGGGATCTTCACTATATCTACCACTGTGCTGTCACACAGAGGATCTTCACTATATCTACCACTGTGGTATCATACAGGGGAGCTTCACGATATCTATCACTGTGATATCATATGGGGAACTTCACTATATCTACCACTGTGATATCACACAGAGGAACTTCACTATATCTACCACTGTGATATCATACAGGCGAGCTTCACTAAATCTACCACTGTGATATCACACAGAGGAACTTCACTATACGTACCACTGTGATATCATACATGGGAGCTTCACTATATCTACTACTGTGACATCACACAGAGGAGCTTCACTATATCTACGACTGTGATATCATACAGAGGAGCTTCACTTTATCTACCACTGTGATGTACAGCGGAGCTTTACTATATGTACCTCTGTGATATCATACAGAGCAGCTCCACTATATCTACCACTGTGATATCACACAGAGCAGCTTCACTTTATCTACCACTGTGATATCATACAGAGGAGCTTCACTATATGTACCACTGTGATATCACACAGAGGAGCTTCACTGTATCTACCACTGTGATATCACACAGAGGAGCTTCACTATATCTACCACTGTGATATCATACAGAGGAGCTTCACTATATCTACCACTGTGGTATCATATATAGGAGCTTCACTATATCTACCACTGTGATATCACACAGAGGAGCTTCACTATATCTACCACTGTGATATCACACAGAGGAGCTTCACTATATCTACCACTGTGATATCAGACAGAGGAGCTTCACTGTATCTACCACTGTGATATCATACAGAGCAGCTTCACTATATCTACCACTGTGATATCATACAGGGGAACTTCTCTATAACTACCACTGTGATATCATACAGAGCAGCTGCACTGTTGATATCATACAGAGCAGCTTCACTATATCTCCCACTTTTATATCATACAGAGCAGCTTCACTATATCTACCACTGTGATATCACACAGAGCAGCTTCACTATATCTACCAGTGTGATATCATACAGAGGAGCTTGACTATATCTACCACTGTGATATCATACAGAGGAGCTTCACTATATCTACCACTGTGATATCACACAGAGGAGCTTCACTATATCTACCACTGTGATATCACACAGAGGAGCTTCACTATATCTACCACTGTGATATCACACAGAGGAGCTTCACTGTATCTACCACTGTGATATCATACAGAGCAGCTTCACTATATCTACCACTGTGATATCATACAGGGGAGCTTCTCTATAACTACCACTGTGATATCATACAGAGCAGCTGCACTGTTGATATCATACAGAGCAGCTTCACTATATCTCCCACTGTTATATCATACAGAGCAGCTTCACTATATCTACCACTGTGATATCACACAGAGCAGCTTCACTATATCTACCAGTGTGATATCACACAGAGGAGCTTCACTATATCTACCACTGTGATATCATATAGAGGAGCTTCACTGTATCTACCACTGTGATATCATACAGAGCTGCTTCACTGTATCTAACACTGTGATATCATACAGAGGAGCTTCACTATATCCACCACTGTGATATGATACAGAGGAGCTTCACTATATCCACCACTGTGATATCATACAGAGCAGCTTCACTATATCCACCACTGTGATATCATACAGAGGAGCTTCACTATATCTACCACTGTGATATCATACAGGGTAGCTTCACTATATCTACCGCTGTGATATCATACAGAGGAGCTTCATTGTATCTACCACTGTGATATCACACAGAGGAGCTGTGCTATATCTACCACTGCGATATCATACAGAGCAGCTTCAGTGTATCTACCACTGTGATATCATACAGGGGATCTTCACTGTATCTACCAGTGTTATATCATACAGAGCAGCTTCACTATATCTACCACTGTGATATCACACAGACGAGCTTCACTGTATGTACCACTGTGATATCACACAGAGGAGCTTCACAATATCTACCACTGTAATATCATACAGAGCAGCTTCACTGTATCTACCAGTGTGATATCACACAGAGGAGCTTCACTATATCTATCACTGTGATGTCATACAGAGCAGCTTCATTGTATCTACCAGTGTGATATCACAGAGAGGAACTTCACTATATCTACCACTGTGATATCATACAGAGCAGCTTCACTATATCTACCTCTGTGATATTATACAGGGAAGCTTCATTATATCTACCACTGTGATATCATACAGAGGAGCTTCACTATATCCACCACTGTGATATCATACAGGGGACCTTCACTATATCTACCACTATGATATCACACAGAGGAGCTTCATTGTATCTACCACTGTGATATCACACAGAGGAGCTGTGCTATAGTTACCACTGTCATATCATACAGAGCAGCTTCAGTGTATCTACCACTGTGATATCATACAGGGGAGCTTCACTATATCTACCACTGTTATATCATACAGAGCAGCTTCACTATATCTACCACTGTGATATCACACTGACAAGCTTCACTGTATCTACCACTGTGATATCACACAGAGGAGCTTCACTATATCTACCACTGTGATATCATACAGAGCAGCTTCACTGTATCTACCACTGTGATATCACACAGAGGAGCTTCACTATATCTACCACTGTGATATCATACAGAGGAGCTTCACTATTTCTACCACTGTGATATCACACAGAGGAGCTTCACTGTATGTACCACTGTGATATCACACAGAGCAGCTTCACTATATCTACCACTGTGATATCCTACAGGGGATCTTCACTATATCTACCACTGTGATGTCACACAGAGGATCTTCACTATATCTACCACTGTGGTATCATACAGGGGAGCTTCACGATATCTATCACTGTGATATCATATGGGGAACTTCACTATATCTACCACTGTGATATCACACAGAGGAACTTCACTATATCTACCACTGTGATATTATACAGGGGAGCTTCACTAAATCTACCACTGTGATATCACACAGAGGAACTTCACTATACGTACCACTGTGATATCATACATGGGAGCTTCACTATATCTACTACTGTGACATCACACAGAGGAGCTTCACTATATCTACGACTGTGATATCATACAGAGGAGCTTCACTTTATCTACCACTGTGATGTACAGCGGAGCTTTACTATATGTACCACTGTGATATCATACAGAGCAGCTCCACTATATCTACCACTGTGATATCACACAGAGCAGCTTCACTGTATCTACCACTGTGATATCATACAGAGGAGCTTCACTATATGTACCACTGTGATATCACACAGAGGAGCTTCACTATATCTACCACTGTGATATCACACAGAGGAGCTTCACTATATCTACCACTGTGATATCACACAGAGGAGCTTCACTATATCTACCACTGTGATATCACACAGAGGAGCTTCACTGTATCTACCACTGTGATATCATCCAGAGCAGCTTCACTATATCTACCACTGTGATATCATACAGGGGAGCTTCTCTATAACTACCACTGTGGTATCATACAGAGCAGCTGCACTGTTGATATCATACAGAGCAGCTTCACTATATCTCCCACTTTTATATCATACAGAGCAGCTTCACTATATCTACCACTGTGATATCACACAGAGCAGCTTCACTATATCTACCAGTGTGATATCATACAGAGGAGCTTCACTATATCTACCACTGTGATATTATACAGAGGAGCTTCACTATATCTACCACTGTGGTATCATATATAGGAGCTTCACTATATCTACCACTGTGATATCATACAGAGGAGCTTCACTATATCTACCACTGTGATATCACACAGAGGATCTTCACTATATCTACCACTGTGATATCACACAGAGGAGCTTCACTATATCTACCACTGTGATATCACACAGAGGAGCTTCACTGTATCTACCACTGTGATATCATACAGAGCAGCTTCACTATATCTACCACTGTGATATCATACAGGGGAGCTTCTCTATAACTACCACTGTGATATCATACAGAGCAGCTGCACTGTTGATATCATACAGAGCAGCTTCACTATATCTCCCACTGTTATATCATACAGAGCAGCTTCACTATATCTACCACTGTGATATCACACAGAGCAGCTTCACTATATCTACCAGTGTGATATCATACAGAGGAGCTTCACTGTATCTACCCCTGTGATATCGCACAGAGGAGCTGCACTATATCGACCACTGTGATATCATACAGAGCAGTTTCAGTGTATCTACCACTGTGATATCGCACAGAGCAGCTTCCCTGTATCTACCGCTGTGATATCATACAGAGGAGCTTCACTGTATCTACCACTGTGATATCGCACAGAGGAGCTTCACTGTATCTACCACTGTGATATCATACAGAGGAGCTTCACTGTATCTGCCGCTGTGATATCGCACAGAGGAGCTTCACTATATCTACCACTGTGGTATCATATATAGGAGCTTCACTATATCTACCACTGTGATATCATACAGAGGAGCTTCACTATATCTACCACTGTGATATCACACAGAGGATCTTCACTATATCTACCACTGTGATATCACACAGAGGAGCTTCACTATATCTACCACTGTGATATCACACAGAGGAGCTTCACTGTATCTATCACTGTGATATCATACAGAGCAGCTTCACTATATCTACCACTGTGATATCATACAGGGGAGCTTCTCTATAACTACCACTGTGATATCATACAGAGCAGCTGCACTGTTGATATCATACAGAGCAGCTTCACTGTATCTCCCACTGTTATATCATACCGAGCAGCTTCACTCTATCTACCACTGTGATATCACACAGAGCAGCTTCACTATATCTACCAGTGTGATATCATACAGAGGAGCTTCACTGTATCTACCCCTGTGATATCGCACAGAGGAGCTGCACTATATCGACCACTGTGATATCATACAGAGCAGTTTCAGTGTATCTACCACTGTGATATCGCACAGAGCAGCTTCCCTGTATCTACCGCTGTGATATCATACAGAGGAGCTTCACTGTATCTACCACTGTGATATCGCACAGAGGAGCTTCACTGTATCTGCCACTGTGATATCGCATAGAGGAGCTTCACTGTATCTACCACTGTGATATCGCACAGAGGAGCTTCACTGTATCTGCCACTGTGATATCACACAGAGGAGCTTCCCTGTATCTTCCCCTGTGATATCGCACAGAGGAGCTTCACTGTATCTGCCACTGTGATATCATACAGAGGAGCTTCACTGTATCTACCACTGTGATATCACACAGAGCTGCTTCACTGTATCTACCACTGTGATATCACACAGAGGAGCTTCACTGTATCTGCCACTGTGATATCGCACAGAGGAGCTTCACTGTATCTACCACTGTGATATCATACAGAGGAGCTTCACTGTATCTACCACTGTGATATCATACAGAGCTGCTTCACTGTATCTACCACTGTGATATCACACAGAGGAGCTTCACTGTATCTGCCACTGTGATATCGCACAGAGGAGCTTCACTGTATCTGCCACTGTGATATCACACAGAGGAGCTTCCCTGTATCTACCCCTGTGATATCGCATAGAGGAGCTTCACTGTATCTACCACTGTGATATCATACAGAGGAGCTTCACTGTATCTACCACTGTGATATCATACAGAGCTGCTTCACTGTATCTACCAGTGTGATATCACACAGAGGAGCTTCACTGTATCTGCCACTGTGATATCGCACAGAGGAGCTTCACTGTATCTACCACTGTGATATCATACAGAGGAGCTTCACTGTATCTACCACTGTGATATCATACAGAGCTGCTTCACTGTATCTACCACTGTGATATCATACAGAGGAGCTTCACTGTATCTGCCACTGTGATATCGCACAGAGGAGCTTCACTGTATCTGCCGCTGTGATATCACACAGAGGAGCTTCACTATATCTGCCGCTGTGATATCACACAGAGGAGCTTCCCTGTATCTACCGCTGTGATATCACACAGAGGAGCTTCACTATATCTACCACTGTGATATCATACAGAGGAGCTTCGCTGCCCTAAAAATCCTCTCCACTGATTCATTCCTTCCTCCTCCCAACCCCTGGCAACCACTGGGCTTTTTGTTAGTTCCATAATTTTGCCTTTTCCAGAATGTCCTCTAGTTGGAATCATACAGTATATAGCCTTTTCAGATTGACTTCTTTCACATAGTAATATGCGTTTCAGCTTCCTCCGTATCTTTTCATGGCTGGATAGCTCATTTCTTTTTAACACTGAGTGTTATTCCGTTTTCGGTATATACCATAGTTTATCCATTAATCCACCGGAGGACATCTTGGTTGCTTATAAGTTTTGGAGATTATGAATAAAGCTGCTGCAAACATCTGTGTACAGGTTTTAACGTGTACAGGTCCTTTGGGTAAATACAAAGGAGTGCAGTTGCTGGATCATACAGTCAGAGTTTTATTTAGTTTTGTAAGAATCTGCCAAGCTATCTTCCAATGCACCTGAACCATTTTCCCACCAGCAATAAATGAGAGTTCCTATTGCTCCACATCCTTGTCAGCATTTAGTGTTGTAAGTGTTCTGGTTTTTAGCCACACTAATGATTTGCATTTCCCAGATGATATGTGATGTGGAGCTTTTTTTTTTTTTTTTAAGAAACAAGGTCTTGCTGTCGTCCAGACTGGAGTACAGTGGCACAATCACGGCTCACTGCACACCCACAACCTCCAGACTCAAGCAATCCTCCCACCTCAGCCTCCCAAGTAGCTGGAACTACAGGCATGCGCCACTGTGCTTGGCTAATTTTTGTTTTTCTTGTAGAGATGGGGTTTCACCATGTTGTCCAGGCTGGTCTCAAACTCCTGAGCTCAAGCAATCCTCCCACCTCAGCCTCCCAAACTATTGGGATTACAAATGTGAGCCACCACACCCAGCCAATTTTTAGATTTTTTTGTAGAGCCAAGGTCTCACTATGTTACCCAGGCTGGTCTCCAACTCCTGGGCTGAAGCAATCTTCACACTTCCCACAGTGCTGGGATCACAAGCGTGAGCCACCATGCCCAGCTGGTTGTTTTATTATTGTTGAGCTTTAAGAGTTCTTTGTATATGTTGAATAACAGTCCTTTATCATATAAATCTTTTGCAAATATATTCTCCCAGTATGTGGCTTGTTTTCTTTCTCTTGAATGAATTTTGAGAACTATACTTTGAACACTTAGCTTTCTTTTTTGCCCAGATTCTGGAAAAATAGTATTACATATGTTGATGAGAATTCTCTGAAGAATTAAAAATAAGAGATAAATGTTGATGAGGATGTGGAGAAAAGAGAACCCTTGTAAACTGTTTGGGGAATATAAATTGGTACAACCATTATGGGAAACCATATGAAGCTTCCTCAAATAATTAAAAATAGAACTACTGTATGATCCAGCAATTCCATTTCTGGGTATATATCCAAAGCAAATGAAACTGGTATGTTGAAGAGATGTAAGTGTCCACCAACAGTTGAATGTATAAAGAAAATGTGGTGTATATACACAGTGGAATATTATTCAGCCTTAAAAAAGAAATGCTGTCATTTGCAAGGACATGGATGAACGTGGAGGACATATGTTAAGTGAAATAAGCCAGGCACAGAAATGCAAATACTGCATGACCCCACTTACGTGTGGAATCTAAAAAAGTCAAACTCAGAAGTAAAGAGTAGAATGGGCCAGACGTGGTGGCTCACACCTGTAATCCCAGCACTTTGGGAGGCCAAGTCGGGAGGATCATGAGATCAGGAGATCAAGACCATCCTGGCTAACATGGTGAAACCCTGTCTCTACTAAAAATGCAAAAAAAAAATTAGCCGGGCATGGTGATGGGCACCTGTAGTCCCAGCTACTCTGGAGGCTGAGGCAGGAGAATGGTGTGAACCCGGGAGGCAGAGCTTGCAGTGAGCTGAGATCGTGCCACTGCACTCCAGCCTGGGTGACAGAGTGAGACTCCGCCTCAAAAAAAAAAAAAAAAAAAAAGAGCTTGGGTGACAGGGTAATACTCTGTCTGGAAAAAAAAAAAAAAAGAGTAGAATGATGGTTGCCAGTGGCTGGGGTTTGGGGTTGGAAAGATGTTGGTCAAAGGACATAAAGTTTCAGTTAGATGAAGGAATAACTTGGGGTAATCTGTTGTTAAATATGGTGACTATAGTTAATAACAGTGTTTTGGCTGGGTGCAGTGGTTCACCCCTGTAATCCCAGTACTTTGGAAGGCCGAGGTAGGAGGATCACTTGAGGCCAGGAGTTCAAGACCAGCCTAAGTAACATGGTGAGACGCTGTCTCTAAAACATAAAAAATAAAATGAGCTGGGTGTGGTGGTACATGCCTGTAGTTCCAGCTACCTGGGAGGCTGAAGCGGGAGGGTTGCTTGAGCCTAGGAGGTCAAGGCTGAAGTGAGTTATGATTGTGCCACTGCACTCCAGCCTGGGGGACAGAGTGAGACCCTGTCTCAAAAAAAAAAAAAAAAATTAATAACAGTGTTTTATATACTTGAAAATTGCTGAAAGAGCAGATTTTAAATGTTCTTAGGATGAAAAACTAAGTATATGAGGTGATGGATGTGTTAGTTTGATTTAACTATTCCACGATGTATATACATAAATCAAAAATGTGTGTACATACCATAAATATATAATTTTATTTGTTAATTTAAAAAATTAAAACAGAAGGGTGTATTCTTCTTTTCGAGATCTTCTAGATTTTTTATGTAAATGCAAGTGAGTAAAAATGTGATGACTTTTTGGTTGTTGTTTGTTGGTTTGTTTGAGATGGAGTTTTGCTCTTGTTGCCCAGGCTGGATTGCAATGGCGTGATCTTGGCTCACTACAACCTCTGCCTCCTGGGTTTGAGCTATTCTGCTGCCTTAGCCTCCCAGGTAGCTGGGATTGCAGGTGCCTGCCACCATGCCCGGCTAATTTTTTAATATTTCTAGCAGAAATGGGGTTTCACCATGTTGGCCAGGCTGGTCTTGAACTCCTGTCCTCAAGCGATCCGCCCACCTCGGCCTCCCAAAGTGCTGGGATTACAAGTATGAGCCACCCCGCCAGGCCTCTTTTTTTGAGACAGAGTCTCACTCTGTTGTCCAGCCTGGAGTGCAGTGGTGCAATCTGGGCTCACTGCAACCTGTGCCTCTCGAGTTCAAGTGATTCTCCTGCTTCAGCCTCCTGAGTAGCTGGGATTACAGGCATGCAGCAAGACGCCTGGCTAAATTTTGTATTTTGTATTTTTATTAGAAACGGGGTTTTGCCATATTGGCCAGGCTGGTCTTGAACTCCTGACATTAAGTGATCCACCCACCTCAGCCTCCCAAAGTGCTGGGATTACAAGCTTAAGCACCGCACCCGGTCGACTTTTCCTCTCCTCTCCCCTCCCCTCCCCTCCCCTCCCCTCCTCCCCTCTCCTCTCCTCCCCTCCCCCCCTCTCCTCTCCTCTCCTCTCCTTCCTCTCTCTCTTCCTTCCCTCCTTTCCTCCTCTTTCTTTCTCCTTCCTTCCTTCCTTCCCTCCCTCCCTCCCCCACCTTCTCTTTCTCTCTGTTTCTCTCTTTCTTTCTTTTTCAGGGTCTCACTCTGTCTCCCAGCCTAGAATGCGTGGTGCAATCACAGCTCACTGCAGCCTTAACCTCCCAGGCTCAGGTGATCCTCCTGCCTCAACCTCCAGAGTAGCTGGGACCACAGGTGCACACCACCACGCCTAATTTCTAAAATTTTTTGTAGAGACGATGTCTCGCCATGTTGGCCAGGCTGGTCTCAAACTCTTGGCCTCAAGTGAACCTCCTGCCTCAGCCTCCCAAAGTGCTGATATTACAGGCATGAACTACCATGTGCAGCCTACTTCAAGTTTTTTAAATGACAAAAAGATCCACTTGCTGGATTTACCTATATTCAGAAGATGTGGATAGACCAATACAAGATAGAAGTTTAGAACGTATCTTGAACATTTCAGATACTCTACTAAGCGTATTACATGAATTAGTTCATTTAATCCTCAAAACAACAGAGCTAACATGAGAAAGACTTCGCTAGATTCAGGGTCACCTAGATCACTGGTGATCTTAGTGAGAGTGTCCTCATTGGCCTTTTGAGGGTAGCAAGCCACATTGCACGGGGCTGAGGAATGAGTGGAAGGTGTGGAAAGGGATACTGCATGTATAGGTAGCTTGTTTAAAAAGTTTAGTTGTGAAAGTGAAGACAGAGGCCGGGCACTGTAGCTCACGCCTGTAATCCCAGCACTTTGGAAGGCGGGTGAGGGGGGATCACATGAGGCCAGGAGTTTGAGACCAGCTGCTCGGGAAGCTAAGCCACGAGAACCGCTTGAACCCGGGAGGCGGAGATCGCGGGGAGCTGAGGTTGCGCCACTGCACTCCAGCCTGGGCGACAGAGAGAGAGGCCGTCTCAAAAAAAAGAAAGAAAGAAAGAAAGAAAAGAAAAAAGAAAACGAAGACAGAGACAGAATAGACAAGATACGGCAGGGATTTGTATGTTTATATTTTAGAAATTATTAAGTATAGGATATGAGAAGTTTCACCTCATAAATAGGACGAGTGCTCACATTACTAGATACTGTTTAAAAATTAATCACCAGTAATAAGTTTGAAAAAAGAATTATGAAAGTACCCAACCAAGCTGGGCGCGGCGGCTCACACCTGTCATCCCAGCACTTTGGGAGGCCGAGGCGGGCGGATCACGAGGTCAGGAGATCGATACCATCCTGGCTAACACGGTGAAACCCTGTCTCTACTTAAAAAAAAAAATACAAAAATTAGCCGGGCTTGGTGGCGGGCGCCTGTAGTCCCAGCTACTCGGGAGGCTGAGGCAGGAGAATGGCGTGAACCCGGGAGGCGGAGCTTGCAGTGAGCGGAGATCAGGCCACTGCACTCCAGCCTGGGCCACAGAGCGAGACTCTGGCAAAAAAAAAAAAAAAAAAAAAAAAAAAAAAAAGGAATGAAGGAGGGAGGGAGGGAGGGAAGGAAGGAAGGAAGGAAGGCAGGCAGGCAGGCAGGCAACCAATCATCCTGCTTTCCTGTTCTTTGAATCAGCTACCTCCTTATCTGTGCATGTTATTTTTTCCCTATGCTTCTGTAGGCACTAAAGCTGTGCATATTATACTATGCACATAATGTTAAGCATTTCTTTTTCTTTTTTTTTTTCCGAGACGGAGTCTTCCTCTGTCGCCCAGGCTGGAGTGCAGTGGCGCAATCTCGGCTCACTGCAACCTCCGCCTCCCAAGTTCAAGCAATTCTCCCTGCCTCGGCCTCCTGAGTAGCTGGAATTACAGGCGCCCACCATCATGCCCGGCTAATTTTTGTATTTTTAGTAGAGACGGGGTTTCACCATGTTGGCCAGGCTGGTCTCGAACTCCTGACCTCATCATCTGCCCGCCTCAGCCTCCCAAAGTGCTGGGATTACAGGTGTGAGCCACCGCACCCAGCCCTAGTGTTAAGCATTTCATAGTGGCATCTTCTCAGCCTGGTTTTTTCCTTAATGCAATACCTAAAACACATCACTGTTTTCTATGCTGTAGGTTTATGAGATCTATATTAATATTTTCCATTATTTTCATGTTATTTGCCTTCAAAAGTTCATCTATTTTTAAACCATTAATTAGTTTCCAAGCAGATGGCACAACAACTGAAATCTTTTTCAGAGTCAGAGGCTTTGGTATATATTGTTAGAACCCCAAACTTTATGGTTCTTTGTTCAGACATCTTATTAACAATAGGGATTGCATCCAAATTTTAGTTATAATGCAAATTAAAATAACTACTGGTGGCAAAAAAAAAAGCTACTAAAAAATTTTAAATCACCACCCCCTATTTTTTGTTACATGAAATTTTGGACAGTAAAATGGCAGGTCTTGTAGGAAGGCGATATTCCAACGCCCCATAACAAAACACTTGAGCACAGAGCTAGACAGCTCAGAGCTAATTTTGGAGCTCAGCAGTCAA
The DNA here is from genome assembly GCF_000001405.40 of Homo sapiens. NCBI lineage: Eukaryota > Metazoa > Chordata > Mammalia > Primates > Hominidae > Homo > Homo sapiens. The sequence goes on along the minus strand of NC_000003.12, from coordinate 195,472,375 downwards.
AGCAAAATTTTTCAAAAGGATATCTGAGAAAAAACAGGTCTTAAGTTTACATTGTTTTGTTTAAACTCCATGTGGACAAAACTAAACTCAAACTTTCCCCACCAAATAATGCCAAAACCGTGGAGGAGTGTCTTCCTGACACCCGCGCTATGCACCGGGTCATCTTTGCTCTTCTTCTTACCCTCACGCCTACATTTTACAGGTTACTAAGCTCTGTCAACATTACCATCAAAATGACCCTCGAATCTGTCCTTGTCTAGCTGCTCGGTATCTACTCTTTCTTCGATCCTTTACTACCCACCCCCCAATTAGTCTTTTTCAGTCCCTCCTCTTGTCACCCTCGCTAATCCTGGATATTATTATCCAGGATATTCCTGGATATTATTATCTTTTTAAAACAAATGTAATCATACACTAAAATATTCCCAGTTTTACCACTTGTGGCTCCCTATAGATCGCAGGATAAAATCAAAACTTCATTTGCCCTTAGGTCCTTTATACTGTGGCCCTGGTCCACAAGCATCTTTCCAAGCCATGTTTCTTTCCGCCCTCTACATGTCCCCTGGGTTTGAGTGAAGCTCAGCTGTTCTTTTTTTTCTATCACAGCTCTTGTTTTATTACTTTCTTTTTCTTTTCTCTGAATAGCAACTCTCTAATGTTCTGGTATTTTCTGCCTTTTAGGTCAAATTCCACCTCCTACATTAAGCTTTTTTGTATGTGATTTTTTTCCTTTGAATCCCTATTATTATTTTATGTTTATTTCTCCCATATGGCATCTGCTGCTCTGCATTGTAAAATTATGTATACCTGTCCTCTCTTTCCCTGAACTAATCACATCTTTCTTATATATTTTCTAACTCATAGGAAGGTCCACGATGAATGTTTAATTATTCTCAAGTCTTTAGGTATAGTAACTAGTGAAGCGTTAGTATGTGATTCCAGTCTGTAATGAGGGATCCCTATTGCTCATCTACAGCTGGATGTAAATGCACGGACCAAGAAGAAGGTTGCATAGATTCCAATGCCTTGGATTTTTTCTCGATTGGATGTAAGAAAATATTCCAGCTACGCTGCTCTTCCTCTCTTTTCTCTAGATCTGGACACAAAGCAAACTTGCTGGATTGTCAAGGTACGCAAGGATGCAAGGTATATGTAGATTCTAACAGATGGGATTCGGCCTACCACAGAAACTTCTATTCCATTTAGTTTGAGCTGAGTTTATCTACCCTGTGGTCTTAGAATATTCAAAGGTGATGGGGATCAGTGCTAAATTGTTGATACTTGGATCCTGTCTCAAGGGGACTGGAACAGTTTGGTTTGAAGAGCCCTCTGTTTCCAAATGCTGGTTAGCACGGAAACATGGTGATATTTTATATTTTTTACTGACATATCGGTCCATGGAGATACAAATGTTAATTTCAACAGATGTGTCAATTTTGCTCAGTAAAAGGTGTCAGAACATTGTACCATCACCAAAAATAGCTTCTTGAAGGCCCTGGGTCCCTGGATTTAGAAAGGTTAAAAATAAAACAAAAACATTTTTACATATTTTTCAAATGCTGGTAAAATATGCTCTACACAAGGACTTTATCAGTGTACTTATTATCAGGATAGTTTCTTGCATAACCCAAATGACAAATATCTCTGCCAAGTTTTTATAAACTCCCAGGGATTTTTCATCTGCTTTTTTCCTTTCAAGCTATTTATTGATATGGGAAGGCTTATTTAATAGAATTTTATTATCCATGTGCATCTTAATCCAGCTTTGAAGATAATTTGGTTTTGGCTGCTATTCAATTCCAAGACAACAATTTAAGGTAGGTGACTGGATAGCTGGTTGGCAGCTGGGGTTTAGAATAGCTTTGTTCTTAATTTGGTTTGCTTCAGTTGGACATTACTCTAATTTTCTTCTTACATTCAAACAGCAACAACAAGATTTTACTAAGTATTGTGAAAGTAAAGGAGAACTTACAAAAATATGAAATAGGGTGAATTTGTGGATATGGAACCACATTACACCATTGAAAACAGAGGATGCCTTTTTATGATACAAAGTTGGCCACAGTAGCACCACCATGTCACTACATGTATTAGGTTTTACTGTGACTATAATCATTTCCCCTGAAAGTTAACAAATACAATTGGCCCTTTGTATTCCTGGGTTCCACATCCATGGATTCAACCAACCTTGGGTAAAAAATATTTGCAAAAAAAATTACATCTGTACTAAACATGTACAGACATTTGTTCTTATCATTATTCCCTCAACAATACATGATAATGACTATTCACATAGCATCACATTGTATTAGGCAGTATAAGTAATCTCAAGATTACTTATACTTCCCCCCTCAAGATGATTTAAAGTACATGGGAGCCAGGCACGGTGGCTCATGCCTGTAATCCAAGTGCTTTGGGAGGCCACGGCAGGAGGATCGCCTGAATCCAGGAGGTTGAGGCTGCAGTGAGCCATGATTGCATCACTGTACTCCAGCCTGGGTGACAGAGTGATGCCCTGTCATGGAAAATAAAATAAAAGTTAAAAATAAAGTATAAGGGAGAATGTGCTTAGGTTATATGCAAATACAGTGCTATGCCATGTTTTTTTTTTTATCAGGAACTTGAACATCTGCAGATTTTGGTATCACAGGAGGTCCTGGAATCAATCCTCTGCAGACATGAGGGACAACTGTACAATGAAAACTTGATATGACATAGTGTATTAGTCCGTTTTCAAGCTGCTAATAAAGACATACCCAAGACTGGGCAATATGCAAAAGAAAGAGGTTTATTGGACTTACAGTTCCACGTGGCTGGGGAGACCTCACAATCACGGCAGAAGATGAAAGGCACATCTCACATGGCAGCAGACAAGAGAAGAGAGCTTGTGCAGGGAAACTCCCCTTTTTAAAACCATCAGATCTCCTGAGACTTGTTCACTATCACAGGAACAGCATGAGAAAGACCTGCCCCCGATTCAATTACCTCCCACAGGGTTCCTCCCACAACACATGGGAATTCAAGATGAGATTTGGGTGGGGACACAGCCAAACTATATCACACAGGTCCTTTACAAGGTGCCACCACTAGGTACTGGTGCATCCGAGATTCCAACCCAGGTAGCCTCTGGAGCCTGTGCTCTTGAAGCAGGTGTGCCAGTGTTGCCACCTAAGTCCACATTATGCCTCTTTCATCTGCTATTTGTTTGTATTGTTCTTTGCATACTTGTGTTTCTATTATCTTCTGGGATATGCATAAAATCCAAGGTCTCTACCATGACCAGCAAAGGTCTGCATGATCGGGGCCGACCTGCATCTCCAGCATCATCCATCACTCTTTCGCCATGCTCACTCTTTGCCATTCCTCAGATAGCCCCAGCTCATTCCCACTGCAGGAGCTTAAAGCACTCTGTCTCTTCTGCCTGGATTTCCCTTTCCACACATTACTATCACTTGCTCACTCAGTTTCCTTATGTTTCTGTCCAGCGTTACCTCCTCCTTGATTACTCTATAACCCCCTACCCTGTTTTATTTTTCTTTGTAGCATTTATCACTCTTGAAATTATCTATTTGTTTATTCTTGTTTTTGTCAATCTCCCCTTCCACTAGAATGCAGACTCCATGGAGGTGAGGATTTTGTCTGTTAATTGAATCACAGGGGCAGGTCTTTCCCGTGCTGTTCTCACGATAGTGAACAAGTCTCAGCAGATCTGATGGTTTTCAAAAGGGGAGTTTCCCTGCACAAGCCCTCTGCTCTTGTCTGCTGCCATGTGAGACGTGCCTTTCATCTCCTGCCATGATTGTGAGGTTTCCCCCACTACGTGGAACTGTAAGTCCAATAAACTTCCTTCTTTTTTGTCTGTTTTGTTCATGACATGACTCTGGTGTCTACAGCAATGCCAGGTACATGATAGATGCTCTGTACTGATGGAACAAATAAATTTAATTTCTCCCAAGAGTCTATGAGGTAGATAAGGCAGATAGTATCATATCCCTTTTAGAGTTGAGATGGTCTCAGAGAGATGAAGTCAATACCTCAGATGTATTGGCTAATAAGTGGTTGGGACTAAAGTGAGGCTAAAGTCTCTCCTTCACTATCAGATCTGGGCATTTTTCACTGAACCAGCATGGTCTCTCTGATGTCATCTGTTTTTCTCTTCTTTGCCTCCAGTGTGGTTACAAAACATTTCTGAAATTACTGCCTGCTTCACTCATTACATCAACCAAACCACAGGTAAGACTGACTACAGAGTTTGAAAATTCTGAGTTAGTGGCTCTAACTTTTGCTATTTCCTAACATGATTCTTCTATGATTAAAACTTTGACAGGTTTATAAATCTGTATCCTTTTCCCCATGTCCCATTTCATATGCAGTCAGAATATTTAGATAAACCCAAATTTTTGCTAATTTGAATGAATTTATGTATTTAATGTGGATTAAATCTCAGTTCTCCTTCTATTTCCTGTTATAAGTCATTTAATCTCTCTGGGCCTTGGTATCCTCAATTAGTAAGTGGGGATAATAATAGTAACTACTTCATAAGGCTGATTTTTTTTTTTTTGTTTTTGAGGTGGAGTCTTGACCTGTCACCCAGGCTGGAGTGCAACAGTGCAATCTCGACTCACTGTAACCTCCCCCTCCCAGGTTCCAGCGATTCTCCCACCTCAGCCCCCTGAATAGCTGGGATTACAGGTGCACGCTATCACGCCCCGCTAATTTTTTATATCTTTAGTAAAGACGGGGTTTTACCATGTTGGCCAGGCTGGTCTCGAACTCCTGACCTCATGATCCACCCGCCTCAGCCTCTTAAAGTGCTGGGATTACAGGTGTGAGCCACTGCGCCTGGCCGGCTGTTCTGATTATTCAATAAGAGTACATAAAGTGCCTACCATATAATAATGGCTCAATAAGTAGTAGCTATGCACTGTTTTACTATGTTCCATGCACTCATAGATGTGAGGATACAACAGTGAGCAAGCTAGATTTGGGGCCTTCTCCATCAGAACTTTCGGGGTAATAAGGAAGACGGTTGAACAGTTGAATAAAGGAGACATCTGTCAAGTACTGTAAGGGGGTGGAGGGTCAGTCTTGGAGTTATCCTTGACTCCTCTTCTCTCACACTCCACCTCCAGTCCCTCAGCAAATCCTGTCAGTTCTACCTTCAGAAAAAGGCCAGACGTTGATCATATCCTGCCACTTCTTCTACTGGCACCCTGGTCTGGGCCTTGATCAACTCTCGAGAACCTGGATTATGCCAATAGTCTCCTAAATGATCGGTCTCCCTGCCTCCACCCTTGCACTACAGTTTATTCCCCATAGAGCAGCCAAAGGTGATCCTGTTAAAACTCTTCAAATTATGTCACTTGCTATAGGCAGAATACTCCCTCCCCATCACCAAACATGGCCGTGTCCTAATCCCTGGGGCTTATGAATGTGTTGCCTTACATGGCCAAAAAGATTTCACAGGCCAGGTGCGGTGGCTCACGCCTGTAATCCCAGCACATTGGGAGGCTGAGGTGGGTAGATCACAAGGTCAGGTGTTTAAGACCAGCCTGACCAACATGGTAAAACCCTGTCTCTACTAAAAGTACAAAAATTAGCTGGGCATGGTGGCGGGTGCCTGTAATCCTAGCTACTCAGGAGGCTGAGGCAGGAGAATCGCTTGAACCTGGGAGGCGGAGGTTGTGGTGAGCCCAGATCATGCCACTGCACTCCAGCCTGGCAACAGAACAAGACTCCATCTCAAAAATAAAATAAAATAAAATAAAATTTCACAGATGTGATTAAGGACCTTGAGCTAGGGAGATTATTCTGCATTATTCAGGTGGGCTCAACCTAATCACATGAATTCTTAAAAGTGGATAACCTTTCCTGAGTGTGGTCTGAGGGAGACGTGACCACAGAAGAACAGTCAGAGAAATGCAATGTTGCTGGCTTCGAAGATGGAGCAAGGGAACCTTTAGAAGCTGGAAAAGGCAAAGAAACATCCTCTCCCCTAGAGCCTCCAGAAGGAGGAATGCAGCGCTGCCAACATATCAATTTTATCCCAGTGAGATAACTTCTGACCTCCGGAACTGTAAGATAATAAATTTGTGTTGTTTTAAGCCACTGAATTTTTTTTTTTTTTTTTTTGAGATGGAGTCTCGCTCTGTCACCCAGGCTGGAGTGCAGTGGCACGATCTCAGCTCACTGCAAGCTCCGCCTCCTGGGTTCATGCCATTCTCCTGCCTCAGCCTCCCAAGTAGCTGGGACTACAGACACCCGCCACCATGCCCAACTAATTTTTAGTATTTTTTGTAGAGGTGGGGTTTCACTGTGTTAGCCAGGATGGTCTCGATCTCCTGACCTTGTGATCCATCCGCCTCGGCCTCCCAAAGTGCTGGGATTACAGGTGTGAGCCACCGCGCCTGGCCAAGCCACTAAATTTGTGGTAATTTGTTACAGCAGGAATAGAAACTAATACATCACTCTTCTGCTCAGAATCCCCCAGCGGCTCCCCAGCTCACACAGGGTAAAAGACAAAGTGACCTCCAAGGCCCTAAGCCATCTGGATCCCAGTATGTTGCAGAACTCATTTGCTCCAGGTCCCCTTGGCTTACTCTGCTCCAGCCACACGGCCATTCCTGGACCATCCAAGCATTCTTTCCACTCAGGGTCTTTGCACCGGCTGTTCTCTCTTTCTGGACTACTCCTCCCCCAGAAGTCCACAAGGCTGTCTCCTACTTCCTTGGGTCCCTGCTGGGATGTCGCCTCCTCCATGAGCCCCTCCTCAACCTCTCAACATGAAATAGGCACATGTCCAGCCCACCTAACCCTGCCTTTTCTTGTTAACACTTGACACCACTTGACATATTATTTAATCGTTTATTATCTCCATACTCTCCCTTCGGAAAAGATGAGTTCACAAGGGCAGGGACTTTGTCTTCGTGGCTTCTATATCTCCTTGCATGGGATAAGTGCTCAGTAAATAATTTATTATCAAATAAATTGAATGGATGGGCCCGGCGCGGTGGCTCACGCCTGTAATTGGCACTTTGGGAGGCCAAGGCGGGCGGATCATGAGGTCAGGAGATTGAGACCATCCTGGCCAACATGGTGAAACCCCATCTCTACTGAAAATACAAAAATTAGCCAGGCGTGGTGGCATGCGCCTGTAATCCCAGTTACTCGAGAGGCCGAGACAGGAGAATCACTTGAACCTGGGAGGCAGAGATTGCGGTGAGCCAAGATTGCACCACTGCACTCCTGCCTGTCAACAGAGTGAGATTCCATCTCAAAAAAAAAAAAAAAAAAATTGAATGGATGAATGAGGGACAGAGAAGGAAGAAAGGAGAGAGTGTTATGGGAACACGGATATCTCAGGTAGTATAAGGAAATAAGGGAGGACCTGAAGTGAAGCCCATGTAGGAATTAACCAAATGCAGAGGGGACATGTTTTAAACATAGGGAACAGCAAGTATGAGGTCATACAAATGGCCAGCAGGCTGGAGCATACAGAGGCAGCATGATACGGCTTGGAAACTTATTTTAAGCAGTTGGATTCACTGTTAACCACTGTGGAGAATTCTGGCCCAGAATGCTTAGTCTGGAATTACACTGCTGCTTGGGTTCAAATCCTGGCCCTGTCTCTTACCAGCTATGTGTCTTTGGGCTGTTACTCACCATCTTTGTTAAGAGGAGTATGATAGTAACCCTACCTCCAGGGCAGGGGTGTCCAATCTTTTGGCTTCTCTGGGCCACACTGGAAGAGGAAGAATTGCCTTCGGCCACACATAAAATACACTAAAACTAACGATAGCTGATGAGTTAAAAAAATAAATAAATAAATAAATAATAGCAAAAAAAAAATATCATATTGTTTTAACAAAGCGTACAAATTTGTGTTGGGCTGCATTGAAAGCCATCCTGGGCTGCGTGCGGCCTGCGGGCCACGGGTTGGACAAGCTTGTTCTAGGGCTATTGTGAGGAATAGATAAGCTCAATATAAATAAGTGGTTTAGAAGAGTGCCTGGTACTTGGCCGGGCGCTGTGGCTCACACCTGTAATCCCAGCACTTTGGGAGGCTGAGACGGGTGGATCACCTGAGGTCAGGAGTTCGAGACCAGCCTGACCAACACAGAGAAACCCTATCTCTACTAAAAATCTAAAATTAGCCAGGTGTGGTGGTGCATGCCTGTAATCCCAGCTACTCGGGAGGCTGAGGCAGAAGAATCACTTGAGCCCTGGAGGTTGAGGTTGCAGTGAGCCGAGATCGCGCCATTGCACTCCAGCCTGGGCAATGAGAACAAAACTTCGTCTCAAAAAAAAAAAAAAATACCTGGTACATTGTAAGCATGGCATGAGTGTTAGCTAGTATTATTACCAGCAACAGGGAGATGCTGGAATTTTATTAAAAAGATTAACTTGATAGGACTTAAGTTTTCTGTTTGTTTTTTGAGAAAGGGTCTTACCCTGTTCCCTAGGCTGGAATGCAGTGGTGCAATCTTGGTTCACTGCAGCCTTGACCCTTTGCGCTCAAGATCCTTCCACTTCAGCCTCCTGAGTAGCTGGAAACACAGGCCAGCACCACCATGCCCTGGCTACTTTTCTTTAAATTTTTTTTGTAGAGACAGGGTTTCCCTATGTTGCCCAGGCTGGTCTTGGACTCCTGGGCTCAAGCGATCCTCCCACCTTTGTCGTCCAAAGCATTAGGATTACAGGCGTGAGCCACTGCACCCAGCCCTGTATGATACTTTTTTAAAAATTTTTATTTTATTTTTATTTATTATTTATTTATTTATTTTTTCAGACAGGGTCTCGCTGTCTCCCAGGCTGGAGTGCAGTGGCGCGATGTCGGCTCACTGCAAGCTCCACCTCCCGGGTTCATGCCATTCTCTTGCCTCAGCCTCCTGAGTAGCTGGGACTACAGGCGCCTGCCACCATGCCCAGTTAATTTTTTGTATTTTTAGTAGAGACGGGGTTTCACCGTGTTAACCAGGATGGTCTCGATCTCCTGACCTCGTGATCCGCCCATCTCGGTCTCCCAAAGTGCTGGGATTATAGGCGTGAGCCACCGCACCTGGCCTTAGTTTTATTTTTTTTTAGAAATGGGGTCTTACTATGTTTCCCAGGCTGGTCTCCAACTCCTGTGCTCAAGCAATCCTCCTGCCTTGGCTTCTCAAAGTGCTGTATTACAAACATGAGTCATTGTGCCCAGCCCTGTACCGTGCTTTTTAAACTTCAGGTTGTGACTCTTTAATGGGTCATAAACCAATTTAGTGGATCAAAAGCAGCTAAAAGATCCCCAACAAGAGGCCAGGCACGGTGGCTCACGCCTGTAATGCCAGCACTTTGGGATGCCAAGGCGGGCGGATCACCTGAGGTCAGGAGTTCAAGACCAGCCTGACCAACATGGAGAAACCCTGTCTCTACCAAAAATACAAAATTAGCCACGTGTGGTGGTGCATGCCTGTAATCCCAGCTACTCAGGAGGCTGAGGCAGGAGAATCGCTTGAACCCAGGAGGCTGAGGTTGCAGTAGGCCGAGATCGCGCCGTTGCACTCCAGCCTGGGCAACAAGAGTGAAACTCTGTCTCAAAAAAAAAAGATCCCCCACACAAGAATAGAAAGTGGAACATAGGATTAGGATTTAGAAAGGGTAAGTAATGTGTATGACATTTCTGTTTCAAATATATATATATATATATATTTGAGGATAAATATATGTATATATATTTATCCATATGTATATTTTATACTCATACTCATCGCTCATCAGGTAAAATGTATACCTGCCTATGGTTCCTAGTTTCACGAGTTTAAGAAATGCTGCTTCATGGGACCTGTTCTAATTCTTGTTCTGCAAGCTAGTTGTGCCAACCTGGGCGAGTCCTTTCCAGGAGCTTTGAAGTTCTTATAGCTCTGTAAGACAATGACTCTAGATGTAGGAAATCCTCCCTGCTTTGGTGTGTGGCTAAATGTCTTGCTGCGACATACAGTGAGTTACAAGGCAAAACCTAACCACTCCTCAAGGGACAGCCCTAAGGAAGCATTTGCAAAGCATAAGTCATAGCACAACAGCTGAGGGAGGCCAATTCCAGATCCCAAAGCACCTTGTGTTTCCAAGTTAAGGAGTGGGAGGAAGTATGGGGAGGTGTGAATTGCTTATCTCCATAGTGCCACCCACCTCTGCTGTGTTCGAGAGTCACATCAACAAGCTGCCGACAGCTCAGTGGGCAATGCCCCTGCCTACCCAGGCTCCCCTTTTAGCTGCCAATTATGGAATCAGCTGAGGAGGAAAGTGAGGGCTGGTATGATCACCAAAAGATTGGAGGCCCACATGCCCACTGGTCATCTCTGCTGAACTTCTTTGCCAGATAGTTGCCTGGCAGGTCAGCTGTTCCACGGGTGGAGGGAAGGGTTGACTCTGACGAATTGCATGTACAGAGCAATTTAGCCAATGCAGTGGTGCTACACACCTGCTTTGTCAGTGGCAGCATGCCCTTGGCACTAGCCTACCAATTAGTTTTGCTCTAACAAATCTAATTATCTGAGAGCAGTTAAGAAAGCCAGGAGACAGAAGCATGAGGATCCGGAGCAGTGGGAGCTGGGACCAGGGGAGTCGGACAATTTCTGTTCTTTGGATTAACTGTGTTGTGGCCAGTCATGTAGAAATCACAGCACACTGAACAGCAGTGCACTTGGAGGCACAAAGGCTCAAGGGTGGGGGTGGATAACTCCTTGCACTTCTGGACTCTGCCATTTCTCTAACAGTTTATTCGTCACTCTGGCTATTTTTACTAACTTGAAACATCATTCTTCCTATTGCATTCCCAGAGCACACACATTTTTTTTTTTTTGAGACGGAGTCTCGCTCTGTTGCCCAGGCTGGAGTGCAGTGGCACAATCTCAGCTCACTGTAACCTCCACCTCCTGGGTTCAAGTGCTTCTCTTGCCTCAGCCTCCTGAGTAGCTGGGATTACAGGTGCCCGCCACCATGCCGACTAATTTTTGTATCTTTAGTAGAGACGGGTTTCACCATGTTGGCCAGGCTGGTCTCGAACTCGTGACCTCAAGTGATCCACCTGCCTCAGCCTCCCAAAGTGCTGGGATTATAGGCTTGAGCCACTGCACCTGGCCCACATCTCGTATTTTGATTTTTTTTTTTTTTTTGAGACAGAGTCTCACTCTGTCGCCCAGGCTGGAGTGCAGTGGCACCATCTCGGCTCACTGTAAGCTCTGCCTCCTGGGTCCATGCCATTCTCCTGCCTCAGCCTTCCGAGTAGCTGGGACTACAGGCACCCGCCACCATGCCCGGCTAATTTTTTGTATTTTTTTTTTTTTTTTTAGTAGAGATGGGGTTTCACTGTGTTAGCCATGACAGTCTCCATCTCCTGACCTTGTGATCCACCCACCTTGGCCTCCCAAAGTGCTGGGATTCCAGGCGTGAGCCACCGCACCCGGCCACATCTTGTATTTTGAATGTGTAGTTTTGGACTTGTAGCATTTTGGCAAGCATTTGTTTTGGTGCAAAGGGTTATTAGTAATGTCAACATTAGAACATTTTAAAAAGGAATACTTCTTCTGGTGAAATAAAACCTTTTTAAAAAACTTTTTTTGAAGTCATGATGGTAATAAAACTTGTACTATGACATAGAACAGTGTCTACAAAGGGACTAATAGGTAAAATTCATCCCTTCAACACACACATTTTTTAAACAATAATGACAGCAACAACAAGCTACCTTGTCATTATAAGAGATTAAGGAATGAGGCATCTACAAACCATATTTATGAGGTAGTTTGGGGTAGGGAGCTTATCTTTTCTAGTAAGGTGGGGTAGGGAGCTTATCTTTTCTAGTAAGGTGGGGTAGGGAGCTTATCTTTTCTTGTAAGGGTCATATTTGGCTCCATTCCTATTGTTTATAAAAATTAAAGAAATGCTTTAACTTCAGCAAAGAAGTGGCCAGCTTGGCTTTATTGATCAGTACCAGTTTGATCACATGATGGCGGAAGAGGAAGAAATAGACAAATTAATTTCTATTGCCTTATGTTTCCCTAGCACCTCCACCAAGAATCTAGAGGCAGTTCAAGGGAAAAGGCAGATAAAGGAAAAGCAGTGCATGTTCATGTTGAAGGTGGTAGGTGACTTTTGGCAGTTAAGGAGACTTGAGTGCCCCAGGCATCGGCAGCAGTGGGAAGGGGAATTACTATTCACTGCAGGCCCCTTTGTACTATGTGCAAACTCTTACAGTTTTAAAAAAATAAACAATAGCAACAAAATTAAAGCTCCCTAATATTTGGATTAAACCTCTTCATTTTTGTATTTGGTAATATCGACATTTAAAAAAAAAAGTTAAAATAAGGTATGTAATTTGGTGCCTCCTCAAAGGAAATATCAAAATGTCCTTGATAATATTGCATGCTTATGTGTAAGCACTTTCTTTTCTTTTTTATTTTTCCTTTTTTTTTTTTTTTTTTTTTGAGATGGAGTCTTGCTCTGTGGCCAGGCTGGAGCGCAGTGGCACGATCTCGGCTCACTGCCACCTCCACCTTCCAGGTTCAAGCGATTCCTCTGTCAGCCTCCCGAGTAGCTGGGACTACAGGTGCATGCCATCATGCCCAGCTAATTTTTATATTTTAGTAGAGACAGGGTTTCACCACGTTGTCGAGGATGGTCTTGATCTCCTGACCTCGTGATCTGCCCGTCTCAGCTTCCCAAAATGCTGGGATTATAGGCGTGAGCCACTGTGCCTGGCCTGTGTAAGCACTTTCAAAGCCATGAACTGAGCATGAAAGTGAGGATCCAGTGGAAGGGCATATTTGCCAGCTAACAGGTAACAGGAACAGAAGTTAAGTCTTAAAATTTCCTCTGGGTTTATTTATTTTTTAAAATTTTTTATTTATTTTAAAGAGAATTGCTAATCTTCTCTGTATCGTTCCAATTTTAGTATATGTGCTGCTGAAGTGAGCACATTTTCTCTTGGAACTGAAGAAAATGTTTGTCTTTCCTGACAAACTGGTATGAGCTCTTTCCTCAGTTAATTAGAACAACATCACAGTGCATTTTACTTTTTTCTTTGTCTAAAAAACAAAAAAGCCTAGGTTCTCATTATAACTTTTTACTCTCCTCCTAAGTTTTTCACTTTTTAACTTTCATTTTAACTTTGTTATTATTTAATTTTTTAAAATTCAGGAGACATGCACGATACAAGCGATTAAAAGAAATAGGTAAAGTTTGAAATTCTTCAGGGTCTACCTTTCTTGGAATAATAGGTCTGAAATTTTTTTTTCAATTGGAATTTTTTTTTCTGATTATAAAAACCGTCTACTTGTTTACCCCAAAAAAAGGAATAAAGCAAAAGAAACAGTCACTGCTAACACTGGATTCACTTCCTTCCCCCTCCACCTTTTTTTTTTTTTTGGTAGGACTACATGCTCTACATGGTATTCTACTGTATGGATATACTGTAATTCATTTAACCAATCTATTAGTAAAAATTTAGGATGTATCTTTTTTTTCTCTAGAAACAACATTGCAGCAAACAGCCATATCTGTGTGTGTGTGTGTGTGTGTGTGTGTGTGTGTGTGTGTGTCCTTATTATTTGTCCTGTCCTTTTCTGAGGATAAATTCAAAAGATATACATATTTAAAATTTGGATATATATTGCCAAACTAGAAAAGTTCTATGATCCTACCAATAGGGTGTATGAGAATCTCTATCCACAGAGTCTCACCAATACTTACATAATGTTTTCCTCTTATACATGTTTCCTGTTTCGTTTTTGAAGGTAACTTATCTTCTCATGAACCAGCGCTTTCAGAACTGTGCAGCACAGCAAGCCAGGCTTTTTTTTTTAGAACAGGCATTTCCTCATGGACTGTGTGTGTGAGAAGGAGGGCTGGAGGATTTGGATTTGCTCACCTCTCAGCAATAAGGAAACCTCATATCTGGCAGACATGCTAGTTGTGTATTAAATATTGAATATGAATTGAGCCTAACTATTTGCCAGGCCCTATGCCACATGATAGGGATATGAGGGTGAAAAAAAGCAGTCAGTCTCTGCTCTCAGGGAGTATACATTCTCATGCAGTATTTTCTAAGGCATCATCTTCTATCTCGACCATGTGATAGGGGAAGAAGACGTGCACGTCCTCACCGGTAGAATAAAGGCACTAAACCAAGATAATGCTTTTGGGTTCCTTCTAGCTCAGGTGACCTATAGTATTTAGGAACTTAAGAGTACAGAAACAAATTTAACAATACTTATAGAATGTTTGCAGTGCAAGAAACTATTCTAGGCATTGAGGGTACACTGAAAACTAAGACACTGTCCCTACTTTTAAAGAATTCACGGGCCGGGCCCGGTGGCTCACGCCTGTAATCCCAGCACTGTGGGAGGCTGAGGCGGGTGGATCATGAGGTCAGGATATCGAGACCATCCTGGCTAACACGGGGAAACCCCGTCTCTGCTAAAAATATAAAAAAATTAGCCAGGCGTGGTGGCGGGCGCCTGTAATCCCAGCTACTCAGGAGGCTGAGGCAGGAGAATGGTGTGAACCTGGGAGGTGGAGCTTGCAGTGAGCCAAGATCGCACCACTGCACTCCAGCCTGGGCAACAGAACGAGACTCCATCTCAAAAAAGAAAAAAAAAAGAATTCATGATGGCCGGGCACAGTGGCTCATGTCTGTAATCCCAGCACTTTGGGAGGCCAAGGTGGGAGGACTGCTTGCATCCAGGAGTTGGAGACAGAGTGTGCAACGTAGTGAGACCCTGTCTCTACAGAAAATCAAAAATTAGCCAGGCATGGTGGTGCATGCCTATAGACCCAGACCCAGCTACTCAGGAGGCTGATGCAGGAGGATTGCTTCAGCCCAGAGTTCAAGGCTGCAGTGAGCAGTGAGCTATGATAGCCATTGTATTCCATCCTGGGCAACAAAGCAAGACTCTGTCTTAAAAACCAACCAACAGGCTGGGTGCAGTGGCTCACACCTGTAATCCCAGCACTTTGGGAGGCCGAGGCAGGTGGATCACGAGGTGAAGAGATTGAGACCATCCTGGCTAACATGGCAAAACCCTGTCTCTACTAAAAATACAAAAATTAGCTGGGGGTGGTGGTGTGTGCCTGTAATCCCAACTACTCGGGAGGCTGAGGCAGGAAAATTGCTTGAACCCAGGAGACGGAGGTTGCAGTGAGTTCAGATCGTGCCACTGCACTCAAGCCTGGGCAACAGAGCGAGACTCCAACTCAAAAAAAACAAACAAACAGGCCGGGCGCAGTGGCTCATGCCTGTAATCCCAGCACTTTGAGAGGCCAAGGTGGGCAGATCATGAGGTCAGGAGATCGAGACCATCCTGGCTAACATGGTGAAACCCCGTCTCTACTAAAAATACAAAAAATAAGCCGGGCGTGGTGGCGGCCGCCTGTAGTCCCAGGTACTCAGGAGGCTGAGGCAGGAGAATTGCATGAACCTGGGAGGTGGAGCTTGCAGTAAGCCAAGATCGCGCCACTGCACTCCAGCCTGGGTGACAGAGCAAAACTCCATCTCGAAAAAAAAAAAAAGAAAGAAAAAGAAAAAGAAAATAGGGTAGAGGCCGGGTGCAGTGGCTCATGCCTGTAATCCCAGCACTTTGGGAGGACGAGGAGGGTGGATCACCTGAGGTCAGAAGTTCGAGACCAGCCTGGCCAACATGGTGAAACCCTCTCTCTACCAAAAATACACAAAAAAATTAGCTGGGCGTGGTAGTGGGCACCTGTAATCCCAGCTACTCAGGAGGCTGAGACAGGAGAATCGCTTACACCCAGAAGGCAGAGGCTGCAGTGAGCCAAGATCACACCACTGCACTCCAGCTTGGGTGATGGAGCGAGACTCTGTCTCAAACAAAAAAAGAGAGAAGAGAAAATCAGAGTAGATCAGGGTAATGAACATTGGCATCCTTTTTTGGTCACTGTTAGGGACTGAACTGTGCCAAAATTCATAGGTTGAAGTTCTAACCCCAATGTGACTGTACAGTATTTGGAGATAGGCCTTTGAAGAGGGAATTCAGGTTCCAATGAGGTCAGTGGGTGATGCGCTAATCCAACATGACTAGTGTCCTTATAAGAAGAGGAGCAGATACACCAAGGATGCACACAGGGAAGGGCCACAGGAGGACACAGTGAGAAGGCAGCTATCTGCAAACCCAGGGAAAAGGTCTCAGCAGACACCAAAACCGCCAACACCTTTCAGCTCCTGAACCTTGAGAAAATACATTTCTGCTGTTTAAGCCACCTAGTTTGTGGTATTTTGTTATGTCAGCTCTAGTAAACTAATACAATCGTCCTGCTTTTGAACACCCTGAATACCTGGGGAATCCTCCACTTAGACAGCAGAGTCAGCCTGCCACTTTCAAAACAGGAAGCTACATCGTCTCTCCCAGCCCTCACACACAGGTAGGATTGTGACCTAGGGTTGGTCAATGAAAAGCACCCTCCCCAGACTTGGTCTCAAGCCACAACAGAAGGAGCAGCCGCTGCACAGAATCCAACAGAAGCGGCGACAATGGAAGAGGCATGTTGATGCCCAAGGCTCGGTGGCATGGCTCAGGGTGGCAGTGTCCTGGGTTAATGATGGTGCAGGCTGTAATGTCTGGAGTGGGTGGCAGAGGCATAGCATCTTCACTGGACTAGTTCTAGTTGGTGGGTTTAGGCCTTGTCACTGTCTTCATGGACCCCAAACCTCGATCTCTACCCTCCTGGTGATCTTGGGAATTACCTAATAGACTTTTTATAATTTCTTAAAAATCAAATTTTGCTGGGCACGGTGGTTCACGCCTGTAATCCCAGCACTTTGGGAGGCCGAGGTGGGCTGATCACGAGGTCAGGAAATCGAGACTATCCTGGCCAACATGGTGAAGCCCTGTCTCTACTAAAAATACAAAAATTAGCTGGGCATGGTAGTGCATGCCTGTAA
The DNA here is from genome assembly GCF_000001405.40 of Homo sapiens. NCBI lineage: Eukaryota > Metazoa > Chordata > Mammalia > Primates > Hominidae > Homo > Homo sapiens. The sequence continues at coordinate 195,455,442 of NC_000003.12, read as the reverse complement.
TCCCAGATACTTGCGAGGCTGAAGCAGGAGAATTGCTTGAACTAGGGAGTCGGAGGTTGCAGTGAGCCGAGATTGTGCCACTGGACTCCAGCTTGGCAAGAGTAAGACTGTCTCAAAAAAAAAAAAAAAAAAATCAAATTTTGCCAGGCATCATGGCTCACACCTGTAATCCCAGCACTTTGGGAAGATGAGGTGGAAGGATCACTTGAGCCCAGGAGTTCCAGACCAGCCTGGGCAACACTGGGAGACCTTGTCTCTAAAAAATATAAATAAATAAATAAATAATCAGATTTACTGAGGTATGGTTTACAAATTAAAATGTACCTATTTTAAATGTGTAAGTTGATAGGTTTTGATGAATGTCTATGCCTGTATAATTATCACTATGATCAAGATAATAGAACAATCCCATCACCCCAAAAAGTTCCCTCGTACCCCACTGTAGTCAGTCCTTCTCTGCCCCGTCTAGACAATCATTGATATGTTTACCGTCACTATAGATGAGTTTTGTGTTTTCCAGTATTTTATAGAAATGGAATCATGCAGTATATATACTCTCGTGTCTGGCTTCTTTCATTCGGTGTCACGTTTTTAGAATTTGCCCAGGTTACCTTTTTAATTGCTGAGTATTGTTCTGCAATTTGTTTATCCTTTTACCTGTTGATGGACATGTGGATTGTTTCCAGCTTGGGGCTATTATGAATAAAGCTTCTATGGACACCTAACAGCATTTTAAGGAATGCTTTTCTTGCTTAAGCTAGCCAGAGTTGGTTTCTGGTGCTTGTGAAAGGCCATGGCTGAAATGGTTCGTATGATTGGCGTTTTGGAGGTGGTGGTGACAGAATTGAAGATGGGGCTGGTGAGAAAGGCCAGTGACCGCTCTTGTGTGCTGGAGACAATGGGAAGACACTACAGACACTACAGCATTTTGAGTCTGGAAATGAGTAACCAGAATGACTTTTAATATAGTTTTTTTTTTCTTTTTCTCTTTTGAGACAGAGTCTTGCTCTGACACCCAGGCTGGAGTGCAGTGGTGTGATCTCAGCTCACTGCAACTTCCGCCTCCTGTGTTCAAGTGAGTCTTCTGCCTCAGCTGCCTGGGTAGCTAGGATAACAGGCACCCACCATCACGTCTGGCTAATTTTTGTATTTTTAGTAGAGATGGGATTTCACCACATTGGCCAGGCTGGTCTCAAATTCCTGACCTCAAGTGATCCACCCGCCTCAGCCTCCCAAAGTGCTGGGATTACTGGTGTGAGCCACCATGCCCGGCCCTAAGTAGTTTTTAGTAGCAGAGAGAGGCTTAGTTGGAGAGAGTGAGACTGTGGCAGGGAGACCAACTGGATGCCATTTGGAGTAATCCAGGCAAGGAAGAATAAAGGCCTGAATCAAGGCAATGTCCCTGGGGTTTGGAAAGAGGGCACAAATGGAAGAGCTGTCACATGAAAAGAGTTCACAGGATTTGAGGGTCAATTAAATGTCATGGTTATGAGACAGGAAGACTTTCAGAAGAGCTCCCAGAGGGTAGGCTGCAGCCAAATCAAGACATTAGGAAGCAAATTCTTAGAAACCTGGGTGTTTTGAGTTTTTGGGGTTGTAGTTAGGTGGAGTACATTTTTTCCTTACTATGTAATAAAAGCGGGAAGGGGGGCAGGGGTAAAAGGAAGCAGAAGCAACAGAGTTCACTCACACACAGATCCAACAATAAGGAACCCAACTAAATTGTGGTCTGGGTCCCCTTAGCCTAAACCTACCTTCTTACCTCAACCTCTTGGCTTGTTAGATATAAAAATGGTCACATTTTGAATGTTGAAAACTTCTTTCAATTTTAATTCCACCTATATTTAGTGTGCACCTACTATGTTGCTGGTCTCTGTGCTAGGTCCTAGAGTTACAAAATGAACGTTAGCACCTGAGTTTCACTTGTGAAGGCTGGGCTTCAGAGTCATCTGTGAGACTCATGTCCAGGCCCCACCCCTGGAAAACTGGATTCAGTAGGTAGGACCCACTCATATATATTAAATCAAACAAACAATAACCACAGAAAATGATATAGACAGTTCTGTTCTACGGTTGTAAACCACTGATGAATCAGCCCCTGTTATCTATATCTTATCCTAACAGCCACCCTAACAGATAGGTATCATCTGTTAGGTAAATGTACGCATGTGCACAAGTAATTACAGAAGCAGAATCACACTGGGAGAAGAAAACATCTATTCATTCAATATTTATTAGGCACCTAGTGCTATGGTTTGGCTGTGTCCCCTAAATCTCATGTGTTAGAAATTTAATCCCAGTCTGGCAGTATTGAAAGGGCATTTCAGAGGTGGTTGGAGAGTGAGAGCTCTGCCCTCATGAATGGATTCATGGGCTAATGGACTAATGCGTTAATGGATTAATGGGTCATCAAGAGAGTGGAACTGGTGGTTTCATAAGAAGGGGAAGAAAAGAGGCTGAGCCCGGTGGCTCATGCCTGTAATCCCAACACTTTGGGAGGTCACGGTGGGAGATTGTTTGAGTGCAGTAGTTAAAAACCAGCCTGGGCAACGCAAGATCATGTCTCTACAAAACATTTAGAAGCCAGGCGTGGCGGCTTAACGCCTGTAATCCCAGCACTTTGGGAGGCCAAGATGGGCAGATCACTTGAGGTCAGGATTTGAGACCAGCCTGGTCAACAGTGTGAAACCTCATCTCCACTAAAAGTACAAAATTAGGCTGGCATGGTGGCGCATGCCTGTAGTCCCAGCTACTTGGGAGGCTGAGGCAGGAGAATCGCTTGAACCCAGCAGGAAGAAGTTGCAGTGAGCTGAGATTGCACCACTGCCCTCCAGCCTGGGCAACAGAGTGAGACTCCATCTCAAAAACATAAATAAAAAAAATAAATTTGCTGAGTGTGGTAGTGCATAACTATAGTCCCAGCTACTCTGGAAGCCTAGATGGAAGAATTGCTTGAGACCTGGAGGATGAGGCTGCAGTGAGCTGTGATCACGCCGCTGCACTCCAGCCTGGGTGACAGAGTGAGACCCTGTCTCAAAAATGATTAATAGTAAATAAACTTTGAAAATTAAAAAAAAAGAGGAGAGAAACCTGAGCAAGCATTAGCACGCTCAGCCTCTCACCACGTGATCCCTTGCCCTACCTTGGGGACGCCACGGAGTCCCCACCAGCAAGAAGGTTCTCACAAGGTGCAGCCTGCCCCCCGAGAAGACCTTGGACTTCTCAGTCTCCATAACTGTAAGAAATAAATCTTTTCCTTTACAAATTACCTAGATTCAGGGATTTTGTTATAAGCAACATAAAGCTGACTAAGACACCTAAGAGTATCAGGTGCTGGGCTAGGTTCTAGAGCTACAAAGATGAAATGAACATAACATCACCACCCAGAAGGTCTAGCAAGTATACAGACATAAAAATCTCAAATTGTAATACTGAACTGAACCCTGTTCCAACACTATGTACAACAGGTGACAGAACAACCGGAATCCCAAAGTCACATCACTGTGATGGGAAAGTACCTGAGGAGATTCCATTTAAGCCAAATTTTAAATAATAAAGGGGAGTTCACCAGGTCCACAAAAGGGAGAAGGCCCATTCAGGCTGAAGAAACATTGTGTACCCAGGTGGGCGTGAGAGAGAGGCACGCTGAAACAAGCGAGAGCATTCAACTCCTTCATGGATGGATGAACCTATTTGCAGTAGAGAGACTGGCAGCAAAGAAGGCAGGAAAGGTTGGCAGGTGCTGGATATTGAAGGGACCTTATTTGTGAAATTAGAAATTCAGTGTTTATCCTACAGACCTGTGGTTTTCCAACTATACTCAGTGGAGCTGTGAGTGCTCCTTGGAGTCCACACAGGGGCCATCCGGGGGTGGGCAGTGGGGCCAGGCGGGCAAGGCTCTGGGTCTCCCATTCCTGTTTCAACCTCACCAACTCTGCTTTTGCCTACTTAATGGTGGGCATCAGTGAAATACTTTTTCTTTTAAATAAAGGGTTTCATAGTTAGGGAAAGCTGAAAAATGATAGCTTAGGCAATGACCAACCCTTGAAGAATCTTAAGCAGGAAAGTGGCATGAGTTTCCCAGGTGGAAAGACTTGGAAACAGTGGCAAATGCTGAGGAGACGTCAGGAAAACAAGTACTGAAAGTGTGCTTTGGGTTTGGCCGTTGGAAAGTGACCTTCCTGAAACAGTTGGTAGGGAGCAGGGGTGTTGGAGAGAGTGGAGAACAGAATGCAGAGGATATTGGAATGAATGGGAGGAGAAACTGTGGAGTAGGGAGTGGAGACTGTGCTGTTAAAGAGTCTTAGATATAAAGCAACGGAAGGAGATTTGGCAATAGTCAGAGGGGAATTTTTCCAACTCACATGTCCCCCTTCTTGGCTAAGAGATTTCCCAACTACAAGGTCACAGGGGCAGACTCTCAGGAGCCATGTTTGTACACAGCTGCCTCCTTGACTGTAGTTGATTGGCCTCTGTGCGGGGTACAGCATCCAAGGTGGGCCAATACTTCCTCCAAGAAATTTAGATTTGGGGCCTAGAGAGAAAGCCCATCCTCTCCGGTTGGTTGGGTAGTGTTGGGAGCTGCTGCCTGGAGAGTCAGATGAAGTAAGCTGCAGATGTGGAAATGGGCAGACAGGAAGGAGCTGCCGGCTTTACAGGCCCTCGTTCTAAATCCTTCTCAAGTTTCAAGGAAAGCCAGCCATCTGGTTCTGGGTGAAACTAACCCATCATGAACCCTTTGTTTTCATTAACTCACATAGTTTCTCTTACAACAAAAATAATCCTTTCTGATACAGACGGTGTATGATTTTCTTCTCTTTCTTCCAAAGACAGAAGAATGGTCAGTTGAGAGTTTGAAGGTACAGAGAAGGAGGGGATAATTGATAGAGCCATTCTCCAAAGAGAACAGAAGGGGTGGATTCCCTAGAGCACAGATCAGGAGTGGCAGAAAGAGATGCCACCTTCCTCTGAGATAGGTGGGTAAGAAGTAAGAAAAGTGCGAACATAGATGAGTATGTGGGCTGGGGGTAGAAGAGTGTTCCTAATGACTCTTATTTTCTTTTTGAGGACCCAATGTTGTTTGCAAATCATGAGTGGGGTGGGGCACATTTGCTGGGAGGCTTGAGGAGAGCAGCAAGGTTTGAGAACAGCCATTGTGCCAGTGGGCCAGGGAACTGGTCACAGATAAATAATACAAAGACAGTTGAGATGAGGCGCGGTGGCTCACGCCTGTCATCCCAGCACTTTGGGAGGCCGAGGCAGGTGGATCACCTGAGGTCAGGCGTTTGAGACCAGCCTGGCCAACGTGGTGAAACCCCGTCTCTACTAAAAATAGAAAAATTAGCTGGGTGTGGTGGTGGGCACCTGTAATCCTAGCTACTCGGGAGGTTGAGGCATGAGAATCACTTGAACCTGGGAGGTGGAGGTTACAGTGAGCCAAGATTGCGCCACTGGACTCCAGCCTGGGCGACAAGAGCAAAACTCCATCTCAAAAAAAAAAAAAAAAGACAGTTGCAAATCCTAAGTATGTGGTGGTGAACACAGTGATGGAGACTCAGTGATAGAGTCTCATGTGCTGGTGAATGCAATGATAGAGTCTCCCTAAAAGCCTTCACCCATTTGCCTACTTATTCCCCCTTAAAATACAAATCAGGCCACGTACAGCAGCTCATACTTGTAATTACTTCGGGAGTCTGAGGCAGGGAGGATCACTTGAGCTCCGGAGTTCCAGATCAGCCCCAGGCAACACAGTGAGACCCACCTCTACAAAACGTACAAATATTAGCCAGGCGTGTGGCGTGCACCTGTACTTCCAACTACTCGGGAGGTTGAGGATGGAGGATCACTTGAGTCTGGGAGGTCGAGGCAGCAGTGACTTATGATCACACCAGTGCACTCCAGCACAAATCAGATGATACCATTCCTCTGTTTAGATTTTTCCAATGGCTTCCTGCTGCTTTACAATAGAAATTATTTCTAATCTTGCTCAGCAACTAGGAGAGGAGAAAGCAGAAGGAAAATGCTTGGATCAATCCCGAGCTGTGGGTATGAAACTGCCCTGAGGTGGAGGGAGAGACAGGGTGGTATACCAACAGCCTGGGAGAAAAAAGGAATACTGGCATGGGGGTGGGAGTGGGAACGTGAGTATGAAGTGAATATATGGGAATGAGACAACTAGAGACATCTATGCTGAGCTTGTGCATGGGATGTTCTGGGTGAGAAAATGGTATAAGATGAGAACATTTAAGGACTTTCTGAAGCAACATATTTTGAGATAAACTTTCTCCCCTTTCTATGAATAGCACTACCTATTACCCAGTCACCCAGATCTGCAACCTGGAGTCATCCGAGGAGTTGTCTTTATTTTTTCCTTCTCCCCACATTTGGTTGGCCATCAGATTCTTTCAATTTTTTAAATTAATTAATTAATTAATTTATTTATTTATTTTTTGAGATGGAGTCTTGCTCTGTCGCCCAGGCTGGAGTGCAGTGCTGCCATCTCGGCTCACTGCAAGCTCTGCCTCCCGGGTTCACGCCATTCTCCTGCCTCAGCCTCCCGAGTAGCTGGGACTACAGGCGCCCGCCACCACGCCTGGCTAATTTTTTGTATTTTTAGTAGAGAAGGGGTTTCACCGTGTTAGCCAGGATGGTCTCCATCTCCTGACCTTGTGATCCACCCGCCTCGGCCTCCCAAAGTGCTGTGATTACAGGCGTGAGTAACCGCGCCCAGGCCTCAATTTTATTTCTTAAACATCTCTTGCTTGCAATTGCATCAGTTGAAAATGTCCCACTCTCCATTAAGATGCAAATAAGATTATGTCACTCCCAGGCTTAAATTCTTCCAGTGGCTTTCCTTCGCTTTAATATACACAGTCCTTAGCATGGCATACAAGGTTCTTTGTAATGTCTATATTGATGGTGTACGATCCTTTCTGATACAGATAGTGTATGTATCAGAAATTCATTTCTTCTTTTCTAAAGCCATATTCTCGATTTACCATGCTTGAAGACCATGTGTTTCTCTTGCTTCTGTGCTTCAGTCAAAATAGTTCCTTGTGACTAACAGTCCTTTGACCCTTTGAAAGACATTCCTCACCTTTTCTTAGATCTTACTTTTTTAAGATTCTTCATATCTATGGAGGTATGAGAACACTAATTTCCTTCCTTAGGAGAAATGACTATCAGATTACAGTAGGCCACTGTAAATACTCAAAGACTGCTGGCACAGAACTTACCATAGTCTGAGAGTTGTAGGGGGAAAAGATTATTTATCTCACCTATAAGTCTCACAGTCTATTTATTTATTTATTTATTTAGAGACAGCGTCTCACTCTGTTGCCCATGCTGGAGTGCAATGGTGCGATCTCGGCTCACTGCAACCCCCACCTCCCAGGTTCAAGCGATTCTCCTGCCTCAGCCTCCCAAGTACCTGGGATTAAAGACATGCGCCACCACACCTGGCTAATTTTGTATTTTTAGTAGAGACAGGGTTTCACCATGTTGGTCAGGCTGGTCTTAAACTCCTGGCCTCAGGTGATCCACCCGCCTTGGCCTCCCAAAGTGCTGAGATTACAGGCGTGAGCAACCGCATCTGGCCTTTTTTTTTTTTTTTTTTTGAGATGGAGTTTCCCTCTTGTCATCCAGGCTGGAGTGCAATAGCATGATCTCAGCTCACTGCAACCTCCGCCTCCCTGGTTCAAGCAATTCTCCTGCCTCAGCCCTCCCAAGTAGCTGGGATTACAGGCACAGTGCCACCACACCTGGCTAATTTTTGTAGTTTTAGTAGAGATGGGGTTTCACCATGTTGGCCAGACTGGTTTTGAACTCCTGACCACAAGTGATCTGCCCGCCTTGGCCTCCCAAAATGCTAGGATTACAGGCGTGAGCCACCGTGCCCAGCCTCTCAGAGCCTATTATAAGGTCTGGCCAGAATAAATGCTCAATGAATATTATTGAATGAAAGAAAAATGAGTGAATGTTGATGTCACCTTAGTTGATGGTGGAAGTTGGGATGAAGGACTGTGAGTCAGGAGCCGAAGTCCTGGATGAACGTGAGTGTTTACTAGCTGTGTTTTATGGGGCCGAGCTATCAACATTTTCTTACAGGGAAATTGCCTTGACTACTAGTCAGCCATCATGCAGCCCCCATCCCTGCAGAAATGATTAGGTTGAGTGATTCCATCCCTCTCTTGGCTTGCCAGGGACCCACTACCTGTGTGGACTGATATGAAAAGATGAGCTGGGCTAATGTAATTGTCTCCTGGGATCTGTGAGTTGGGAAACAGATTTAAGCAATTAACACCAGGAGCCGAAGTTGAAAGGCTGTATAAAGAATTGTCAGCCAGGCGCAGTGGCTCATGCCTGTAATTCCAGCACTTTGGGAGGCCGAGGTGGGCGGATCTCTTGAGGTCAGGAGTTTGAGACCAGCTTGGCCAACATGGCTAAACCCTGTCTCTACTAAAAATACAAAAATTAACCGGGCATAGTGGCATGAGCTTGTAATCCCAGCTACTCAGGAGGCGGAGACAGGAGAATCTCTTGAACCCGGGAGGCGGAGGTTGCAGTGAGCTGAGATTGTGCCATTGCACTCCAGCCTGGGCAACAAGAGCGAAACTCCATCTCAGAAAAAAGGAGAAAAAAAAAAAAAGAATTGTCAAGAAATATCTAGCAGAGGTTGCAGAGTGGCCCTGAAACTTATTTTTATAACCTGTGCAATGTTCTGTAATATTTTGAAAGGCTTGTCAATATTTGAAAACAGGGAGATTTCACATGAAAATCTGGCTGTTTGGCGTCTCTCATTAAATCTGAGGTCTGGTATGGCAGGAACTGACTGGAGCTGAGAAGGACACAGGGCACATGCTTTCTGTTCGTCATAGCCTCCACCACCGCATGCTGCTCACACCTGGAAAGTTTCATTGTTTTATATTACCCACTGGGAGCCTCTAGAGGAATCAGTAGCAATGATAGATTGTATGCAAACCAGGTTCACAGGGGAACAGAACCTAGAGGAAAGCAGAAAGGAAAGTTGATGGGGTTGGGCAAGTAGGAAAGAGAGAGGATGCAGATGACAAGAGAGAAAACCAGTCCTAAGAGTTGCCTGAGTTTCTGCCCTTGTCAGTTCCAGTAGTGCCCACAGTCACCCTCATTGTAATTTCCTTTTCTTGAGATAATTTGCAACGCAATTAGCCAGGCTAAGGCAGGGAGTTACTAGAAATTGCTGGATAACAGCAACAAGGAAAGTAAGACAGTGTAAGCCTTTTGCTGACTATGTATCCTGACCAAGGAGTACCAGGGAGGAGAGATTGAACAACCTCTGCTCAAGAGGATGTATGGTCAACAATGTTCTCAGAGGAAATCAGCAGCTTTCTATGAAGAACTATGGGTGTCCAGGGTTCCAGAGGGTTTGTAGAGAGGGACTGAGAAGTTTGGGGAGAAGAAATTTGGAAGACATTTAAAGTTTGGTACTTTATATTCTTTTAGAGTGCAGACTGGGCCTAGTAAGGAACTTTTACTGTGTGTTGAATAGAGAGGTTTGTATTTCGGCCAAGAAAGCTTCCTGAGGGGGTGGCATAAGAGTGGTGTTTTAAAGAGAAGATGAAAGGGAGATTGCTACACGGGCAGACAGAGTTACAACTGCAAAGGCAGAATTCTTAAGGGGAGGGAGGACAGTTAGTAGTTCGGATCTGGCATCAGGCAGCCTGTGTTTGGCCTGAGTCACCTGGTAATTTATTTTCATATGTTGGGACCTTGGTTTCCATTATTATATAAAAATACAAAAATTAGCCAGGTGTGGTGGTGCATGCTTGTAATCCCAACTACTCGGGAGGCTGAGACAGGAGAATCACTTGAACCTGGGAGGCAGAGGTTGCAGTGAGCCAAGATTGTGCCACTGCACTCCAGCCTGGGTGGTAGAGCAAAACTTCTTCTCAAAAAAAAAAAAAAAGATGAGGATAATAATATTGTATTTCTTTTATTCTAAGACCCACTGCTCCCACCCCATCCCACTTTAATGTTTCTTTATTTAGGACCTATCTTAGAATTGACACCCCCAAATGCTTGCTTTATCACAGGGCAAGGAAGAAAAATTGTGACAGTGTTATCACTAACTGGGTATATGCAAATTTAGCCATCCACAGAAAGATGTTCACTTGGTAATTAGCTTAGTTATTTGCCTTTGTGGTGCCATGCAGTTGAATATTAATTTGAACCCCAAAGTGTCACTTTAGGTATCTTCTAAAAGGCTACACTGTGATTAAGTATTAAAATAATAAGTTATTGTATATGCAGATTAGCTGTCACACATCAGGAACGCAACCAAATATAGTAGAGATTGCCAACTGTCTTGGTAAATTTGACATTGAAGTTACAATGTTAGGGAAGGTTGGCCTGACCACTAATGTGCTTGAGGACCCTGAACATTTAACAGTCAATAGTCTGTTTTTAGCTATCAAGAAAAGCTGTGTGGTTTCCAGGAATACACAATTAAAAAAGAAATCAAGTTTATAAGCAAAGAATAAATGAATATAATGCTTCTATATTCTCTGAAATGCCTCAGAATTATACTGTTAATTTTCCTTTTTCCTTTTTTTTTCTTTTGATACAGTGTTTTGCTCTGTCTACCCAGGCTGGAGTGCAGTGGCACAATCATGGCTCACTGCAGTCTTGACTTCCTAGGCTTAAGTGACCCTTCCACCTCAGCCTCATGAGTAACTGGGACTATAGGCATGTGCCTGGCTAATTTTTTGTATATTTTTGTAGAGTTGTAGAGACAGGATTTCACCATGTTGCCCAGGCTGGTCTGGAACTCCTGGAGCAAGGAATCTGCTCACCTCGGCCTCCCAAAGTGCTGGGATTACAGGTGTGAGCCACCATGCCCTGTCTATACTGTTAATTTCTAAAGATGCTAAAGAGATCAAGATATCTCTTGATGGGTTACGAAAAACAGTATGTCATCACGCTATACTTAGCCAGACGGTCAGAAAGTTATATTAAGACTTTAGAAGGCTGGGTGTGTGGCTCACACCTGTAATCTCAGCATTTTGGGAGGCTGAGACAGAAGGATCACTTGAGGCCATGAGTTTGAGACCAGCCTGGGGAACGGAACGAAATTGTTTGATTGTTTTTGAGACAAACAAAAACTTCAGACAGTGAAAGTGAGAGAACTTAGACTTAAGCCCTTTGATTATAGTACTGAAGAGGCAAATGGTACAATTAAAATAGCCAACATTTACTGAATGATCGATATGTGGCACTGTGTTAACCGGACAACTTCATCAGATCTGTGTGTTATGTTCATTTTAAAGTGAGAAAGCTGGGACCTAAATCCAGGAAGTTTGCCTCCAGATTCTCACTCAGAGCCACTATGCTGTTAGAACACCCTGTATATTCATTTTTATAGATACGCCCGTGTTTTTTAGGTTGGCTTAAAAATTACTCATTACATATAAGACATCTTTGTACTTTTTACAATCAATGGCATCTTAAAATGAAGGAGTATGGTAAATACCTGCCGTGAGGATCAGATGATAAGTATCTTAAAGTGCTTCTAGAAAAAGTGTGGATTAGAGGGGCAGGTGTTGCAAGGTGAGTACGATGAGCCTGGTCTTCAGAACCCCACCATGGCAGAACAGTGAAAACCACCAGGAGCAAAGTGTCAGTGAGGGGGAATGCTTTCGGCAGTTTTGAGAGGAGTTCCTCCACACGAAGCACCCTACCTCCCATACCTGCCTAAATCTTTCTATGTCCAACCCAAACGGCAGCTCCTTCAGGAAGTGGTCTCTGGCTATATGAGAAGATGTACATGGGAGCAATTTCCAGATTATGAAGCTATGGAACAAATACATGAAAGATGGATTTTATCACTAAAGTTATCCTCGCTCCTCTTCTGGCCTCAGTTTCTCTAAACTGAAAGGAATAGGTGGCTTAGCCTATCTCTTCCTTTTATAATTTCTGCCTCTAACCTCTTCAGATTTCTGCCAATCTGCTTTGAAAAGCAAATTTCCTTCCTCAGACCTGCAGGAGACTGCTCCTCTGGGCTGGCAGCTCAGCAGGGCGGGGCTCGGGGAGCAGGAGAAGAGGCGGGGGCTCGGAGGGAAGCGCGGCCGCAGCCACGTGACTTCCTTCCCAAGGAACCTCAGCTGCCGGCCTCCCAGCAACCGGTGCGTCCCGCCTAGCGACGCCCGCGCATCCCGGTTGGCCCTCGGGGGCGGTTGTGGCAAGGAGGTGCCCACGGTCGCGCTGCTCATTGGCTCGGGTTGCCGTCGCTCAGACCCGTTGCCCGGGCGCCCGCAGGCGGTGCTGCCGGATGCCCCGCCCCTTGGCCGCCAGGTTCGTGGCTGGCTGGCCGCTGCTGTCACTCCCCGGCCGTTTCCCTGCGGCCAGCGCTCTACTTGGGGCGGGAGGAAGAGGGGCGGGACTGGGGCCTGACTAGTCGTCGCCGTCTTCGCGGCTGCTATGACCAGCGGGCGAGGCGCCCTTCGCAGCTCCGCGCAACGCTAGTCGCGGCCGTGCGCCCGCCGTAGCCGTCTGCGTCCCAGCGCGGCCGCTCCCGCGGCCCCCTCGGCTTTGCCAGCGCCGCCTGCGAGGCGGAGGCAGGATGAAGATGACTGTGGATTTCGAGGAGTGTCTGAAGGACTCGCCCCGCTTCAGGTAACCGGCACGGCCGCCCGGCGTCACCGCGGAGCTGCCTTCCCGGCGCTGGGGGCGTGAAAGCCGGGCCCGCGCACCCGGAGGAGGCCCCGCCGTCCGCTCCTTCCGACGGGGCGAGCGGCTGTTGCCGCCGTTTCCCACCCTGCGAGGGCACTGCAGTCCCCACCGAGCCCTCCCGAGGGGCGACGAAGTGGCGGGGACGGGGACGTCGCCTCTCATTTCTTTCCTTGCCCTCTGCCGGGGCGGAGCGCCCCGAAGGCCGGCGCACCCTCTCCCGCTGGGGGAAATGGGGTGCAGCCGCGCTCCCGAAGTCCCGTCCCCTTCGCGGGCGCTCGCTCTCGCCCCCTTCCTCCTCTGGCTGCTCTTCCTTCCCCCTTCCTTCCGCCCCTTCTTGGTTTCCACCCCCTCCCCACCCCCTCTTTGAGGGAGCTTTCAGGGCATCCTCTTGCAGTTCATTTAGTTCCTCTTTGCGCTTTTCTGCCCCCCTTCCCCGGGGAGGAGAGAGTAGGGGGCGAACTGGGACGCCGACTTCTGCTTCGCGGTGCCCCCGGCCAGAGCGACTCTCCGGAGGGCGCCCGCGGTGGATGCGTGCGGGAATCGCGGGGGGAAGCGCTGTGATCAACCGCATTCCGTGGACCCTAGTTGGTGACTACCTGCTTTTCTTTCCACTTAAGCTCGTTGAAGGGGGCACAGCTGTCGAGAGGTACCGGGCTGAGGGCGGAGGACTAGCAGAAAAGTGCATTTCTGTTTTGAGAACGGAAGTAGGAGGGCCGTGAAGATTGCCTGTGTGTTCCTCTTCCAGCAGCCTCTGCCCAGGAGGGCCCGGATCACAGTCGGATGCTCCCAGTGGATCTGTCACAGAGTTGACATGGGGGCACTCCGATTCACATGGGTTGCCCTTCTTTCTATGTGAGAGGCGGTCGTCCTGAGGCCGTCCAGGACACAGGTTCTTTCTGTTTTGAGGATAGTAGGAAAGTCTTGAGTTGTTTTGGACAATGGAGTTTTTCTAGGTTGCGTTTTACAGTGTATTTATTTACAGGGCTGGTCATAGTCCTTACAAATATAAGGCCTTAACACTTCCGTTAGATAGTGACATTTCTTGAAGCTTCCTCTGAGCACTGGCGTGTGTGTGCCCGCTAATGTCTGGGCCAAGCCTGGATTGTAAATTGCATCCTCTGCCTGGGAACTAACTGTTCTCATCCTTAACACTGTTAATTGGATTTCTTATTCTCCTTTCAGCGAAAAAGAAAAGAATTGTAAAACTAAGGAACTGCTACTTAGAGAAAATTTAAGAACGCTTTTTGCGTTTGCCCTTTGATGATTTTTGGGTATTAATTTTATTGGAGCCTAGGGCTATTATTTAAAAAAACCCACTTCCTTTGATAGCTGTTGTTGCGATTCATTTTTGAAACTTTTATGTTCTGCATTATTGAAGGACTCAAGAGACACAAATAGATTTCCTAGGACAGGCGTGCAGGTTGGTTTCCAGGACAGCATGGCAAGTGGAGTAATTTTTAAAGTGCACCTTAGAAAGTTCAGCTTTTTGTGAAATTTTGTTACTATGACTCAGCTATTTATTTTTAAGTGAAATAATCACAGCATTTTTCCCTTAGAAGATGTAGCTTTGAACTCCCTTTGTTTCACATTAATTTTTTTTTTTTTTTAAGTTGAGAGAAGTGATTTGGAAATACTTCTAGCTACTGGGGTTGGTCACAAACCATGTGATGTCTTTGTTTTTGAAATAAAGAAATCATTGAATATAAAATAAGAGGGCAACATACTGATTAAGTTGTAGGGAATATTATAGTGAACTTTTGTTAAACTTGATTGTAACATAAATTCTATGTTAATTAAAATATTACAGGTTTTCAGGAGTTGTTTCCCATATTCCAATTATTGTTAGCTGCAAATTGGGAAGAGATGCCAAAATTTCAATAACTTCAACATCTTATATACATTTTGGGGACAAATTAGATTTGCAATAGAGGGAAGACTGCCGAGAAATAGAAGTTTCATTATTCATATTCTTAATTTTTTATAGTTTTTCCATAATCCTATTACTATGAGGATCTGTATAGCATTTGAAAAGAATATTTGAGAAGTCTTCATTCACATGTTGTATGTATAAGAAGAGCTTTACTTTTGAGAGTATTGTGTATGTTGAGTGATAGTGAAACTTGTATCAAAATAAAAAGCTTGTGAGGCCTGGGCTTGTTTTTTGGTAGTAAGGCAGCTGCACTTGTGTCCTGATCTATTGGGCTGTCTTTAAATTAATACGTGTCTTTATTCATAAATGAATCTTGTGGCATTTAAGTCTAGTGTGTGCACATAACTGTCTTGGTGCTGTAGAATTAATGCAAAAGGCACATCTTGCTGATGAAAATTTCACCACTGTTCAAGCTTTAAACATCTATTTTCCTGTTAAATCAATGAGGAGAATACAAGGGGACTGGTTGAAATAGGGAGAAGGATGTTGCATTTGCAACATTGTCTTTTGTAATTTGAATAGTCAATGGTTACTTTTACATCCCAGTGAACATTTTTTTTTTGTTTTGGATTGGAGGGCACATTTCGTTGTATAATTTTGGGTTCCCTTTTTGGTTTTTTAAATACCAGTTTAAAATCAGCTTAAAGGTCAAAATCTTGTTCATCTAAAATCTAAAAACCTTGTTCATCTAAAAATCTACAGGAATGTAAAGTGCCTAAGTATACTTTTTTTTGAGTGGAAATTTTGCATTTTGGCCAAAATATGTTGAAGTTGGAATTTGTTTGGGCCCTTAATTGTATGTAGTTGCATGTAGTAGGTCTTTAAAATTTTACAAAACCTCCGTAAAAGTACTGCTTTTCTTTTACTTAAACATACTCTTGGGCTGAACACTGTGGCTCACATCTGTAATCCCAGCACTTTGGGAGGTGGAGGACGGCGGATCACTTAAGGTCAGGAGTTTGACACCAGCCTGGCCAACATGGTAAAACCCCATCTCTACTAAAAATACAAAAATTAGCCGGGTGTGGTAGTGTGCACCTGTAATCCCAGCTACTTGGGAGACTGAGGCATGAGAACTGCTTGAACCTGGGAGGCAGAGGCTGTAGTGAGCTGAGGTTGTGCCACTGTACTCCAGCCTGGGCAACAGAGCGAGACTGTCTCAAAAACAAAAAAAACAAAAAAAACAAAAAAACCCAAAATGTATTCTGTTTTACTTAGGAAGTGAATATCTATTTGAAATAAAAAGTAGAATAAATAAATTGAATAAATAAACATCTTTCTGAATTATGAAAGATTTTTGTCAGCAGTGTTCAAGTATAAAAATATTGTGGCCAGGTGCAGTGGTTCATGCCTGTAATCCCAGCAGTTTGGAAGGCTGAGACAAGAGGATCGCTTGAGGCCAGGAGTTTGAGACCAGCCTGGGCAACAAAGTGAGACACCGTCTCTACAAAAATAAAAAAATTAGTTGGGCATGGTGGCGTGCATCTGTGATTCCAGCTACATGGGAAGCTGAGGCAGGAGGTCAAGGCTGCAGTGAGTTATGTTCACACCTCTGCACTCCAGCCTGGGCAACAGAGCTAGACTCTCTCTCTCTCTCTTAAAAAAAAAAAAAAAAAGGCCTTAGCCTTGGTATGCTTTAGTTTTTATCTGATAATTTATTTTTATCCTTTAACAATGTCTATCATACACCATCCTGCAGGTTTTTCATTTTTAGATTCTATTTCAGATATGATTCTTTTTTTTTTTGAGATAGAGTTCTGCTCTTGTTGCCCAAGCTGGAGTGCAATGGCACGATGTCGGCTCACTGCACCCTCCGGCTCTTGGGTTCAAGCAGTTCTCCTGCCTCAGCCTCCCGAGTAACTGGGATTATAGGCGTGCACCTCCACGCCTGGCTAATTTTTTGTATTTTTAGTAGAAACGGAGTTTCACCATGTTAGCCAGGCTGGTCTCGAACTCCTGACCTCAGGTGATCCGCCCGCCTCAGCCTCCCAAAGTGCTGGGATTACAGGCATAAGCCACCATGCCCGGCTAGATACGATTCTTGTTCAGTAACTTAGAATAACTTTTTTTTTAAAAAGGGTGTTTGTGGGTGAATTATGTTTGAGAGACAGAGTCTTACTTGTTATCCAGGCTGTTCTCCAACTCCTGGACTCAGGTGATTCTCCTGCCGCAGCCTCCTGAGTAGCTGGGATTACAGGTATGAGTCACCATGCCCAGTCAGGTGAAAGGTTTTAATGGGCGAAAGACATTGGAATAAAATGTGACTACTAAATACACCTCAGTTATGTGTTGCTATTAAGTCTGGATTGGTGCCAATCTTGTCTCCTTCCTTTGCCTTCCATCTTTATAATAAACTTTTAGCAACTGCCTGTTAATACAGTGGGTAAGGGCTGAGGGGAAATTTTTTTTTTTTTTAATCTCAGAAGCAGTAGAATGGAATTATAAAGTAATTTTATTATGAACCAAAATACAGGAATCCTGACTGGGTGTGGTGGCTCAAACCTGTAATCCTAGCACTTTGGGAGGCTGAGGTGGGCAGATCAGTTGAGGTCAGGAGTTCGAAACCAGCCTGGCCAGCATGGTGAAACACCATCTCTACTAAAAATACAAAAAAATTAGGTGGGCGTGATGGTGGGCACCTGTAATCCCAGCTACTCGGGAGGCTGAGGCAGGAGAATTGCTTGAACCTGGGAGGCAGAGGTTGCAGTGAGCTGAGATTGCGCCACTGCACTCCAGCCTGGGGGACAGAGTGAGACTCCATCTCAAAAAAAAAAAAAAGAAAATTCTTGCAGGTGGGGCGCAATGGCTTACATTTGTAATCCCAGCACTTTGTGAGGTCGAGGTGGAAGGATTGCCTGAGACCAGCCTGGGCAACATAGAGACCTTGTCTCTAATTTTAATGAAAAAAAAAAAAAAAAAAAAGCATGTAAAGTAGGACTTATCCTCATTTTAAAAATGTGGGTTTTTTTTTGCTTTTTTTTTTTTTTTTTTTTGAGACAGAGTCTCACACTGTCGCCCAGGCTGGAGTGCAGTGGTGCAATCTCCACTCACTGCAACCTCCACCTCCCTGGTTCAGGTGATTCTCCTGCCTCAGCCTCCCGAGTAGCTGGGATTACAGGCGCCTGCCACCACACCTGGCTAATTTTTTATATTTTTAGTAGAGACGGGGTTTCACTATGTTGGCCAGGCTGGTCTTGAACTCCTGACCTTGTGATCCACCAGCTTCGGCCTCCCAAAATGCTGGGATTGCAGGTGTGAGCCACCTCGACCAGACTCAAAAATGTTTTAAAAAATCCGGAAAAATCTGCAACTGGACATTTTGATAGATTAATTGACTTTTTAAAAATAGTTACTTCTTTTGCTAGTAATTGACTTTCTTAATGGTGAACTTTCACATGGTGGTCCTGGAAGAGAATTCACTCATTTACTCTATATGTTAAGCCAAAGGCTTTAATTTCATTTGTTAGGCTGGGTGCAGTAGCTTATGCTATAATCTCAACAGTTCAGGAGGCTGAGGAGGGAGGATCACTTGAGGCCAGGAGTTTGAAATCAACCTAGGCAACAGAGTGAGACCCTGTCTTTACAAAAAAAAAAAAATTAGCCAAATGTGGCCCACGCCTGTAGTCCCAGCTACTCAGGAGGCTGAGGCAGGAGGATTGTGATGCCCTGGAGTTTGAGGTTACAGTGAGCTATGGTGATGCCACTGTACTCCACCTTGGAAGACAGAGCAAGACCCTGTCTCTTTAAAAAAAATTATTAAATATTGTGTCAGTTAAATTTGCGTTGTTTATGGTGTCTTTTATCATATAGAAATTTAAAAGCTGGCTTTTGTTTATTGCCTAGCAAAGTTTCCCTACCCCATTATATTTTTCTGTCATTTTATAGTGATTTTAAGTTTCATGTAATGCAACTGGGTCTTAGTTTTGATTGTAGCAGATAATCTAATTTTATTTTCTTCCTAATGAAAACCACTTGTTCTAACACCTTTAAAAAAAATTCATTCTTCATTGATTTAAAATGAATCGCACATCCCTTTTGTGATGTGCGGGAGGACAAATTTCCTCTTGTTATATGTTTTACATATTTAGTCTTTACAGTACTTTTTTCTTCAATTTCAGAAGAGGATATGTCTTTCTATGTATTTTGGCCTTATTTATTTAAAACTTTTTATTATTTGGCCTTATTAAAATTTCAGGGATGATTCAACTATATGGTATTTAGGAAGAGACATACTTTAGATTTAAGGACATAAATAGGTTGAAAGTAAAAGACAAACCATGCAAACAGTACCCAAAAGAGAGGTGGAGTGGCTGTGCTAATATCAGATAAAATAGACTTTAAGACAAAAATTACTACAGGCAAGTATAATAAGAGGGCTGGGCATGGTGGCTCACTCCTGTAATCCCAGCACTTTGGGAGGCTGAGGTGGGCAGATCGCTTGATCTCTTGAGTTCGAGACCAGGCTGGGCAACATGATGAAACCCTGTCTCTACCCACAATACAAAAAAACCGTTGGCTGGGCATGGTGGCACATGTCTGTGGTCCCAGCTACTCAGGAGGCTGAGGTGGGAGGATCACTTGAGCCTGGGAGAGGTGGAGGTTGCAGTGAGCTGAGATCGTGCCACTGCACTCCAGCCTGGGTGACAGTGGGACTTTGTCTCCAAAAAAAAAAAATATATATATATATACATATATATGTATATATCTGTGTGTGTGTATGTGTATAAAAATAAAAGGGTCAATCCATAAGAAAGACATAATGACTATAAATATATATTCACTTAGCTGAGCTCCAAAATACACGAAACAAAAACAGCATTGCAGGCAGAAATAGACAATTCAGCAATCATAGTTTGAGATATAAATACTTCCAATAATGGGTGGAACAACCAGGCAGATGATTAATAAGGAAATAGAAGATGTGAACAGTGCTATAAACCAAGAAGACTTACTAGTTATCTATAGAACACTTCATACAGCAGCAGCAGAATTCACATTCTTCTCGAGTTTACATGAAGTATCCTCCAGCATAGAGTATGATGTTAGGCCATTAAACAAGCCTCAATAAATTTTAAAGTATTGAAATCATACAAAATATTTTCTGACCATAAGGGGATAAAATTTGAAATCAATAACAAGGAAATCTGAAAAATTCACAAATATGTAGAAATTAGCAGTACACTTCTAAGTAAACAGTGGATCAAAGAAGTCACAAGCAAAATGAAGAAATATTTTCAGATGAATGAAAACAAAAATAGAACACGCCAAACTTATGGGATGCAGCTAAAGCACTGCTTAGAGAGAAATTTATACCTGCAAACACTAATATTAAAAAAAAAAGAGGCCGGGTGCAGTGGCTCATCCCTGTAATCCCAGCACTTTGGGAGGCCGAGGTGGGTGGATCACGAGGTCAGGAGATTGAGAGACCAACATGGTGAAACCCCGTCTCTACTAAAAATACAAAAATTAGCTGGGCATGGTGGCACACACCTGTAATCCCAGCTACTCGGGAGGCTGAGGCAGGAGAATCACTTGAACCCGGGGGGCAGAGGTTGCAGTGAGCCAAGAGTACGCCACTGCACTTCAGCCTGGACAACAGAGTGAGACTCTGTCTAAAAAAAAAAGAGATCTCAAAATAGTAGCTAATCTTCACCCCAGCAAACTAGAAAAAGAAGAGTAAGCAAATCTCAAAGCAGCGAAAGGGAAGAAACTAAAAAAGGTAGAGCAGAAATAAGAGAAAATAGAGAAGAGAACAATTGAGAAAAATAATTGAAACCAAAAGGTGGTTCTTTGAAAAGCCTAACAAAATGGACACATCTTTAGTTAGAGTGACCAAGAAAAAAGGGCAGTGACTCAGATTACTTCATTCAAGAGTGAAAGAGGGCACATCACTACCAATTTACAGAAATAAAAAGGATTATGAGGAAATACTACAGATAATTGATGACATTAACTTAGAAGAATATATTTCAAGAAAGACACAAACTACTGAAACCGACTCAAGAAGAAACAGAAAATCTGAACAGACCTATAAAAAATAGAGATTTAATTGATATTCAGAAAGTTTCCCAAAAAGAAAAGCACTGGCCAAGATGACTTCACTGGTGAATTCTATCAAGTGTTCAAAGATGAATTACTGACATTCATTCACACTCCTTTAAGAAATAGAAGAGGAGACATCACTTTTCAAAGCATCGAGATTCCTAATCATTAGTCCATTGTTATCCTGCTACCAAAGCCAGGTGATGTATCACAAAAAAACCCTACAGACCAGCTGGGCACAATGGCTTATGCCTATATTCCCAGCACTTTGGGAGGCCGAGGCAGGAGGATTGCCTGAGCCCAGGGGTTTAGTCTGGGCAACACAGGGAGACCCTGTCTCTACCAAACCAAATCAAACAAAAAAAATTAGCTAAGTGTGATAGCATGCGTCTGTGGTTCCAACTACTTGAGAGGCTGAGATGGGAGGATTGCTTGAGCCCAGAATGTTGAGGCTACAGTGAGCTGTATTTGCGCCACTGCACTCCAGCCTGGGTGACAGAGCAAGATCCTGTCTCAAAAAACAAAAAAACAAAACCAGGCCAAACATGGCGGTTCATTCCTGTAATCCCAGCACTTTGGGAGGCCACAGTGGGAGGATTGCTTGCGTCCAGGAGTTCGAGATCAGTCTGGGCAACATAGTGAGACCTTGTCTCTATAAAAAAATTAAAAATTAGTTGTGTGTGGTGGTACATGCCTATAGTCCCAGCTCCTCAGGAGGTTGAGGCAGGAGGACCACTTGAGCCTGGGTAGTTGAGGCTTTGGTGAGCTGTGATGGTGCCACTGCACTCAGCCTGTGTGACATAGTGAGACCTAGTCTCAAAACAAAAATGAAACAAACCCACCAAAAACAAAGCAAACAAACCCTACAGACCAGTATTCCTTATGAATGCAGATACAAAAATCTTTGACGAAAGTACTAGCAAACTGAATATAGCACCATATAAAAAGGATTGTACACCATGACCAAGTCATAGTTATCCCAGGAATGCAAAGTTGATTTAATATACAAAAATCAATCAATGCAATATACTATAATAATAGGGTAAAGTATTAAAACAACACAATCATCTCAATAGATGCAGAAAAAGCATTTGACAAAATCTAACACTCATGATAAAACTATTCAAAAAACTAAAAATAGAAAATTTCCTAACTTGATCCTAATTTGATAACGGCCATCTTTAAAACACCCTCAGCTAACATCATATTTAGTGGTGAAGGACTAAAAGCTTTCCCCTAACATAAGGAGCAAGAAGCCTGTCACCACTTCTGTTCAACACTGTAGCAGAGGATAGAGCCAGAGCAGTTAGGCTGGAAAGAGAAATTAAAGGCATCCATATAGGAAAAGAAATAGTAAAACTATATTTTTAGATAATAAGTCTTGTACAATCAGCCTTTGTATCTATGGGTTCCACTTTTGTGAGTCAATCAATCATGGATTGAGAATATTTTGGAAAAAAACAATAAAAAATAACGATAACAAAGTACAAATAAATAGTATAACAACTATTTACACATAACATTTACATTGCATTAGGTATTAGAAATAATCTAGAGATGATTTAAAGTATATAAGATGATGTATGAAGGTTATTTGCAAATACAGTGCCATTTTATATACAGACTTGAGCATCCGTGGATTTTGGTATTAGTGGGTAGTGCAGGGGGTGGGCAGGGGGAGTCCTGGAACCAATGTCCTATGGATACCAAGGGATGAAGGTATATAGAAAATGCTAAGGAATCCACAAAAATCAGTTATAACTAGTAAGTTCAGCTAGGATGTAGTCTATAAGATCAATGTACAAAAATTATTTGTATTTCTGTATACTAACAAAGAAAACCAATCTGTCTATAGTGGCGTCAAAAAGAGGAAAGTACTTAGAAGACAGTACACTGAAAACACCATTGAAAGACATTAAAGACCTGAATAAATGGAAATACATCCCATGTTCATGGATCAGAAGGCTGAATATTGTTAAGATGGCAATATTCCCCAAATTGATCTACAAACTAAACGCAATCTCTATGAAAATTCCAACCGGTTTCTTTGAAGAAATTGTCAAGCTGATCCTAAAATTCATGTGGAAATATAAGTAACCCAGAACAGCCAAAACAATCTTGAAAAAGAACGAAGTTGGAGGATTCAATTTCCAATTTCAAAAGTTACTACAAAGTGATTGTAATGAAGACGGTGTAGTACTGGCATAAGGATAGACATATAGATCAGTGAAATAGAATTGAAGAGTCCAGAAACAAAGCCTTGCATTTATGGTGAGCCAGTTTTAACAGAGGTACCCAGACAATTCAATGCGTGAAAGAATAGTCTTTTGAACAAATGGTGCAAAGACAACTGAATATCCACACGTGAAAGTATGAAGTTGGAGCCCTATCTTATGTCATAGGCAAAAATTAACTCAAAATAGATCACAGGCCTGCATGGAAGACCTAAAACTATAAAGCTCTTAGGAGAAAACAGAATTAAATCTTTGTGACCTTGAATTAGGCAATGGTTTCTTAGGTATGAAATTTAAAGTACAAGGAACCCAAGAAAAGATTGATAAATTGAATTTCATTAAAATTAAAAACTTTCATGCTTCAAAGGACACAGAACATTAAAAGTCATGCACAAAATGAGAGAAAATATTTGCAAATTATACCTGTTAAGGGATTTGTATCTAGAGAATGTAAAGCTCTGCAACTCGAAGGACAAATAATCCAATTAAAGAATGGGCAAAGGATTTGAGTAAGTATTTCTTCAAAGAACATACCCAAATGGTCAATAAGCACATGAAAATATGCTCAACATCATTAACTAGCAATGCATATAAATACAAATAAAATCATGGTGAGATACGACTTCATACCCACTAGGATGGCTATACTGGAAAAGACAGATAATAACCAGCATTGGGAAGAATGTGGAGCTGTTAGAACCCTCATGCACTGCCAGTGGGAATGTAAAATGGTGAGCCACATTGGAAGAGTTTGGGAGTTCCTAAGATAAGAAGTTAAACATAGAGGCTGGGTGCGGTGCCTCATGCCTGTAATCCCAGCACTTTGGGAGGCCGAGACGAGTGTATCATGAGGTCAGGAGATCGAGACCATCCTGCCAAACATAGTGAAACCCCATCTCTACTAAAAATACAAAAAAAAAAAAAAAATTAGTCGGGCATGGTCGCATGTACCTGTAGTCCCAGCTACTCGGGAGGCTGAGGCAGGAGAATGGCGTGAACCCAGGAGGTGGAGCTTGCAGTGAGCCGAGATCACGCCACTGCACTCCAGCCTGGGTGACAGAGCGAGACTCTGTCTTGGGGAAAAAAAAGAAAAGTTAAACATAGAGTTACCATATGAGTTCTAGCGAGCCATTCCACTTCTAGGTGTATACCCAAGAGAAATGAAGATATATACCCACAAAACTTTGTACAAGGATGTTCATAGGAGCATTATTCACTGCCAAAAAGTGAAACAACCTGTGTCCGTACATGGATAAATAAGATATGAAGTATCTATACAAATGGAATTAAGGTATTCAGCTGTCAAATGGAATGAAATACTGTTATATGCCATAATATGGATGAACCTTGGAAACATTTTACTAAATGAAATAAGCCAAACACAAAAGCCATATATTATATAATTTTATGTGAAATGTCCAGAATAGGCAAATTTGTAGAGCCAAAATAGATTAGTGATTTCTAGGGGTTGGAGGGTGAGGGAAATGCAATTAGTGGTTGCTAACGGATATGGGGTTTCTTTTGGGAGTGATGAAGATTTTCTGGAGTTAGTGGTAATGGTTGTAGAACTCTAAATATACTAAAACCCACTAAACTATATTTTTAAATGGTGAATTTATGTTGTGAATTATATTTCAATATAGCTGTTACTGAAAAAGGTTTGAAGCGTAGAACATTTATAATCAAACGCATAGGTGGAATAGAAAATACATGTTGAGCCTCCATATTTCTTTCGCCTTGACTTAACAGTTATCAATGCATGGTGATCTTTAAACCCCAGCCCCTTGTTTCCCCATATGATTTTTTTTTTTTCAGTTGAGACAGGGTCACACTCTGTCACCCAGGGTGGAGTGCAGTGGTGCAATCTCGGCTCACTGCAACCTCTGCCTCCCGGGTTCAAGTGATTCTCCTGCCTCAGCCTCCCGAGTAGCTGGGATTATAGGCGTGAACCACTATGCCTAGCTAAATTTTGTATTTTTAGTACAGATGAGGTTTCGCCATGTTGGCCAGGTATGGTCTCGAACTTCTGACCTCAAGTGATCTGCCTACCTCGGCCTCCCAAAGTGCTGGGATTACAGGTGTGAGCCACTGCTCCTGGCCTCCCCATATGATTTTTGAAGCAAATCTCAGAGAGTATAGAATTCCATCAGTATGTATGTGTATGTCTCTGAAAATATATACACTTTAAAAAAATTATGTAACTACACACCATTATCACATCAGAAAAAAGTAACAATAATTAATAGCATCAAACATCCATCAAATAAGCTTCATAGCTTATGTAGGATTTATTTTGTGTCCTTTATCACATTAGAAGATTGTGTCTCTTCTTTATCAAGTAAATTCCCTCCCTGATAATCTGTAGATAAGAAATCCCGGCAGATCATCTTGGCAGAAACAAATCATTAGAGAACATTAGGCAGTCATCCATGGACTGTTTTGGACCTGTCCTTTTCATCTTCCTTTCTAACCTGAATTTGTTGCTTTCCTGGCATTTTGCACTTAATTTTTTGATTATAGAAAATTTCAAGCATATACAAATTAAACAGAATAATATTAATGACCCCTCATTATCCAGTTTAAGCAAATACCAATGTTGTGTAATTCTTGTTTCATCTATGTTTCTGTTATACTTACTCTCCCTTGTGCCATAGGCAAAAAGAACTCTCCCAAAATGGATCATAGATCTAAATGGAAGACCTAAAACTATAAATCTCTTAGGAGAAAACATAAGATTAAATTTTTGTGACCTTGAATTAGGCAATGGTTTCTTAGATATGAAACCTAAAGTAGAAGCACCCAAAGAAAAGAAATTAAAAAGTATTAATTCGTGTTCATAGTTTTTTTCTTGATAAAAACTTGCATACATTGAAATGCACAATTGTACACTACCCGTCACCTACACCTCTGTCACGATACAGCCTATTTTCCATCTTCCCAGAATGCTTCCCCCACCACCTAAAGACAACCACTGTTTTGCTTTTTTTGAACTTTAGATTAGTTTTGCCTATCGTTGAACATTATAAATAGATTCTTATGGTTTGTATGTCAATTATTATTCTCAGCGTTTTGGTACTTTTGCTTAGCATTTTAACTATGAGATTGATCCATGTTTTTCTGTGTGTCACTAGTTCATTTTTTTTTTTTTTTTTTGAGATGGAGTCTTGCTCTTTTGCCCAGGCTGGAGTGCAGTGGTGCGATCTCAGCTCACTGCCTCCTGGGTTCAAGCTGTTCTCCTGCCTCAGCCTCCTGGATAACTGGGATTACAGGCACACACCACCACACCCGACTAATTTTTGTATATTTAGCGGAGATGGGGTTTTATCATGTTGGCCAGGCTGGTCTCGAACTCCTGACCTCAAGTGATTCACCCACCTCAGCCTCCCAAAGTGCTGGGATTACAAGTGTGAGCCACTGCACCTGGCCAGTGTCACTAGTTCATTCTTACTGCTGTGTAGTATTTCTTTGTGAATGTACCATAATGTATTCATTCTCCTGATGATGGATAGATTGCTTCCATTGTTTGATCATTGTGAATAAAGTTGTTACGAACATTCTTATACAAATTTTCTTACGGTAGGTTTTCATTTCTCTTAAGATAAATACCTAGGAGTTGAATTGCTGTGTCAAGGGGTAAACGTGTTTATAAGAAACTGCAAAGCATTATTCCAAAGCGATTGTACTGTTTATAAATCTGCCAACAATATTTGAGTGTTCCTGTTGCTCCACATTCTTGCTAGCATTTGGTAATATCACCTTTTGATATTACCCATTGTGTGAGTATATAATATATTCCTGCATGTGTGTGTTTAATTGCAGTTATGTGTTACTTAATGACGAGAATATCTTCTGAGAAATGCATCATGATTTTGTCATGTAAACATCATAGGGTGTATTTACACAACTTAGATGGTATAGCCTACTACACATCTAGGGTATATGATATAGCCTCTGGGTCCTAGGATACAAACCTGTACAGCTTGTTATTGTACTGAATACTGTAGGCAATTTTAACACAGTGGCATTTGTGTATCTAAACATATCTAAACATAGAAAAGGTACAGTAAAAATATGATATTATAATCCCATGGGACCGCTGTTGTATTTGTGGTCTGTTGATTGGAATATGACTGTGTGTGTATATATATGTATAGACCTATATATATGAGTGTGTGTGTGTGTGTATATATATATACACACACACCTATATATATGAGTGTATATATATCTATGTATGTATACCTATGTATGACTGTATATATACATCTATATAATATATATACCTATATATATGACTGCATATATACATACATATAATTATGACTATATATGTATACATGTATGTATATATATACAGTCACATTCCAGTCAACAACAGATTGTGTCATATATTCTATTAAGTTGTTATGACATAATACTGCTTAGTCCTGTTTTGGACATGTTGATACCCTGCTTTTCTGGATTATTGATAATTTGGTAACAATTTTATGTTACTTTTCTAGAGTTTAGACTAATTATCTTTTAGACGTGTGTGTGTATATATATATATATGCATCTGTGTGTGTGTATGTATACATACAGACACAAGCACATATAATTGAATGCACCTGTTTTTTCTTTTTTTTGAGATGGGGTCTCACTCTGTCACCCAAGTTGGAGTGCAGTGGTGTTATCTTGTCTCACTGCAACTTCCACCTCCCAGGCTCAAGTGATCCTTCCACCTCAGCCTCCTATCAGGGAACACAGGTGCACACCACTACATCTGGCTAACTTTTTGTATTTTTGGTAGAGATGAGGTTTTGCCATGTTGCCCAGGCTGGTCTCAAACTCCTGAGCTCAGGCTGTCCACCTGCCTCAGCCTCTCAAAGTGCTAGGATTACAGGAGTGAGCCACTGCGTCCGGCCTAGATATGTTTAGATACACAAATAACATTGTGTTAACAATTGCCTACAGTATTCAGTAAAGTAATATACTGTACAGGTTTGTATTCTAGGAACCATATAGGCTATACCTTGTACCTTAGGTGTGTAATAGGCTACACCGTCGAGGTGGCTTGTAGTCTGTGATGCTTGCCCAGTGAAGAAGTCATCTAACAGTGCACCTCCGAGAAGGTATCACCTTTGTTAAATGATGGATGACTAGCTTTTTATTGCCGTTATAGCAAATTACCCCAAACTTAGTGGCCTAAAACGACACAAAATGATTTTACAGTTCTGGAGATCACAGTTTTGATACAGATCTCACTGGGCTAAAATAAAAGGCCAGTTGGCAGGGCTGCATTCTTTTCTGGAAGGTCTAGGGAAGAATCCTTTATTTTAGTTTTTTATACCTTGCCTTCTCCAATTTCAAAGGGCTGCCCATATTCCTTGGCTCATGGCCCCTTTCCATCTCCAAAGCCAGCAGTGGTTGTGATACTCCCTCTTCTATCCTCCTCTTTTACTGATAAGGACCCTTGTGATAATGTTGGGCTGACATTCCAGAATAATCTCCCAATCTCAAGGTCAGATGATAGCAACCTTAATTTCCCTTTGCCGTGTAACCTAACGTATTTGCGGGTTCTGAGGATTCGGATGTTGACATCCTTGGTGGGGGCGGGTGGCGGGGGGCATTATTTTGTCTACCACAGTCCACCCCCTGGCTCCCCAAAATTCACCTCTATTCCACATGCAAAACATATTCACCCCATCCCAATATCCTCAAAAGTCTCAACACTGATTTGTAATCTTGCCAAAGATCTAATCTGTGCTCATTGGTTTACATATGACCTTATAATCATAGTGCAAATTTTGGTGGCTTTGCTATTTTTAATTTAATAGTATAAATGTTTAATATTGTTAGGAAGTTTTTTCTTTTTTCTTTTTTGGACTACTCAGTTGCCGTAGTGAGAAAGGGGAAGAGTAGAACTAGCCAGGAAGGTTTTATGGCTAAAAAAAGACTGCATCGTATATTCTGTGAAGTTGTTGTGACATAATACTGCTTAATCCTGTTTTAGATGTGTTGATACCCTGCTTCTCTAGATTATTGATAATTTGATAACACTCTTAGGTTACTTGCTTTTCTGAAGAGTTTAGACTAATTATCTTTTAGAATGGCCCCCTTCCTGAATTTTTCTGATTGTTTCCTTGGGACAGATACAGTTTAAACTTTTTTGGCACGAATACTCATTGGTGATGATGCATTGTGTCATCTCCACCTGGAAACCCAGGATGTTTGCCTGTCTTCCTGTTGGGAATGCAAGGTTTGACCACTGGAGTCATGGGTAGGAAAGGGTGGATAGCAGGTGGTGGTGGTTGTGGGGAGAAGCTTGTAGATTAAAGCCTCAGGGAGAAAGGAGCTTGATCTTCAAGGAACGGAAGGAAGGCCGATAGGGTTGGAGCAGGGTGTGCAAGAGGAAGGGATGGTTAAGAATTAAGATCAGAGGTAGGCAAGGATGAGGTCATGTTAGGCATTATAATTCATCTGTAGTGATGAGTTTGGATGTTATGGTTAGTGCAATAGGAAGCAATTAGAAAGCTTTTAGCAGTGGTGGGAGATAAGGTTTATGTTTTAAAAATATTTTGAGTACTGTTTGATAATGGGCTGTATGGGGGAAGAGTGAATGCAAAGAGACCACGCAGGAAGCCATTGTAGGAAACTAGTTATCAGGCTGGGCCAGGTGAGAGACAACTTGGGAGATAGTTGAGAACATTTTTTCATAGCATCAAGAAGAGTTGATGTTGAATTTTTTTATAGGGAATTAGAAGAATAAAAAAATCGCATTTTTGGCTTTAGCAGCTGGGTGGATGGAGATTCTGTTTATTGATAAAGAGGAAGACAAGGGAAGAATAGGTTTTTTTTGGAAAAAAGTCAAGAGTTATATTTTTTACATGTTAAGTTTGAGACACCTAGTAGACACTGAGGTAGAGTTGTTAAATAGGGCTGGCATTGCTGTGCAGCCTTGTGTAATTTACTTTAAAAACTGATGTGATCCCATCCTATATTCACTTTTAGATGGTAAACTTTTTGGGACACAGACCACCATGTCTTTTTATTCCTTTGTTCTTGAGCACGATTTCTTGCACACAGTAGATAGGCAACAGGCTTTTACTACCAATAAGTACTTTCTTAAAATAGTTATACATTCTCCATTTTCACATAACATACTATAATTTTTATTTGAGGAATTTTTCTGTTATTGTACAATTGATGAATTGCAAAACGATAAGTAATATATGACACCTGGGGTCTTATTTAAATTTCCTTTTACAATGTAGTAACTAAGTCAGTCCAGAATCGTTAAGTCTTGATGGGTAGTTGTCATAATTCTTGAGAGACTCTGACTAGTCTAAGCTACCAGGGTATTTTTATATGAGGGCTCTAAGGAAATGTTATATTTAATTTCACAAACATTTTGACACACTTAACTATTCAGATGATACTTTTAGTTGTATAGCAAATTTAAAAAATGTGTTTGATATCCTGCTACCTCAATCAACTCTTTTTTTTTTTTTTTTTTTTTTTTTTTTGAGACGGAGTCTCGCTCTGTCGCCCAGGCTGGAGTGCAGTGGCGCGATCTCAGCTCACTGCAAGCAATCAACTCTTAAAACCTTTTTTTTTTTTTTTTTTTTTTTTTTTTTAAGACAGGGTCTCACTCTATCACTCAGGCTGGAGTGCAGTGGCACAATCATGGCTTACTGCAGCCTTGACCTCTTGGCTCAAATGATCCTCTCACCACAGCCTCTTGAATAGCTGGGACTGCAGGTGTGTGTCACTGTGCCCAGCTAATTTTTTAAATTTTTTGTAGAGACGAAATCTCACTGTGTTGCCCAGGCTGGTCTTGAACTCCTGGGCTGAAGCTATCCTCCCATCTTGGCCTCCCCAGGTGGGATTATAGGCGTGAACCACCGCACCTGGTCTTAAAATTTTTTTAGTTGACTAAAAAGTAGTCAAAACTGGCCGGGCGCGGTGGCTCACACCTGTAATCCCAGCACTTTGGGAGGCCGAAGCAGGCGGATTGTCTGAGGTCAGGAGTTCAAGACCAGACTGGCCAACATGGTGAAACCCCGTCTCTACTGAAAATACAAAAAAAATTAGCTGGACATGGTGGGCAGGCGCCTGTAATCCCAGCTACTTGGGAGGCTGAGGCAGGGGAATTCCTTGAACCAGGGAGGTGGAGGTTGCAGTGAGCTGAGATCACGCCACTGCACTCCAGCCTGGGTGACAGAGCGAGACTCTGTTTCAAAAAAAAAAAAAAAAAAAAAAAAAAAAATATATATATATATATATATATACACACACACACACACACCACACACACACACACACACATATGACCATTCTAAGTATTTTATATATATTAAATCATTTATTCACAACTCCGAGATATATGCTATTTATACTAGGGGACAGAGAACACAACTATTAAGTGGTAGGAGGGGATTTGAACTCTGTCATTTCTGCTCTGAATCTTGAACCATCTTCAGTAGAATCTAAGCCAGGAGTTGGTAAACTATGGCCTGCGTGATTTGTGGATATGCATGCTATGTAGTCATACAGGGACCCACCCTGAGAAAGGCCCTGTGCTTGGTTTGGTTCTCTGCTGTTACTATTTTGAAATTCTTAATAACTTTTAAACAAGAGGCTCCATTGTTTTTTTTTGTCAATAGTCCCTGCAAATTATATCATCATTTCTACATGTGTGCTAAGTTTTTACATTTTAAAGTTTTAAAAAAAATTTCATGACACATGAAAATTATATAAAATTTCAGTGTGTGTAAATAAAGTTTTATTGGAATATAGCCATGCTTATTTATTTACATATTGTTTATGGTTGCGTTTTTTGCTACAACGGCAGAGTTGAGTAGTTGGAACAGGGACTGTAGGGCCTGCAAAACTTAAAATAGTTACTCCTTTTTTTTTTTTTTTTTTTTGAGACGGAGTCTTACTTTGTTGTCTGGGCTGGAGTGCAGTGGTGCGATTGCGGCTCACTGCAACCTCCACCTCCCAGGTTCAAGCGATTTTCATGCCTCAACCTCCCAAGTAGCTGGGATTACAGGCGCCTGCCATCACACCCGGCTAATTTTGGTAATTTTAGTAGAGATGAGGTTTCACCATGTTGGCCAGGCTGGTCTGGAACTCCTGACCTTAGATGATCCGCCTGCCTCGGCCTCCCAAAGTGCTGGGATTAGAGGCATGAGCCACCATGCCCGGCCGAAATACTTGTACAATTAACAGATCCAAGAAAGGATTGTACAGTGAACATCTGTCTAGCCTTCATCTAGAGTTACCGGTTGTTACTATTTTGGCACATTTGCTTTATGTGTGTCTCTATCTCTTTATCTTACATGCATGTATAATAGGTATATAAAATACATCTCACATGTACTTTTTTTTTTCTGAATCATTTGAAAGTTTGACCTGCAGCTCGTAAAAATAAGGACATTCTCCTACATAACCACATTTATAACACTAAAAATAATTTCATGTTGAAATGTTCCCATTTGTGCCTGTTATGTCCTTTATGACTAATTTTACTAGTTTTATTCCTTTGAATCAGTATTCCATCAAGGTTCATGGAGTGGGTTGCTTTTTCATTACATTTAGCCAGCTGTTCATTCCTGTTTCTTTTAATTCATCATATCATTGGAATGATTTAAAAATCATGAAAAATTTGGATTATGGTGGAGCCTAGGAGAAGTCTCAGTCGTATCTGAGGCCTTGGATTTGAAGAAGGGCCAAATCATGCAAGATATTTTATGTCATGTTAAGGATTTTGGAGGCTCATCATAGAAAACATAGTGAGAAGCTCTTAAAGAGATGTGACATGTTCAGATTTGCATAGTACATATGACATTGACTTTTAACCTGGGCAACATGGCACGACTTTGTCTCTACAGAAAATTAAAAAAAAAATTAGCCAGGTGTAGTAGTGCATGCCTGTAGTTCTGTAGCTACTGGGGAGGCTGAGGCAAGAGAATCACTTTTGAGGCTGCAGTGAGCTATGATCGACGCACACTGCACTCCAGCCTGGGCAACAGAGCAAGACTCCATCTCTAAATAAAAAAGAAAACAAAATGGACTTTTCAGGCAAAATATTTTAGCATGTCACAATATGGAACAAAAAGATACAACCTTGAGGAAAACTAAGTGTAAAAATACTTTCAGAGACAGTAAGGGAGAGTCAATCATGAAATGAGAGTGAGACATTAAGGATTTTTTGTTATTATTATGTGTGATAATGATAAAGAGGCTCTGTTAAAAAATCTTATCTGTTAAGGATCAATAAAATAATACAGCATCTAGGATTTGCTTTAAAATACATCAGTTAAAAAAAGGGACAGGAGTATATGAAGCAGGAATGGCAAAGTTCTGATCATTGAAACTAGGTATTGGGTACAAGGGAGTACATTATACACTTCTCTGTTTTTGTGTCTTGATTCATTTCATAAGAGGTTAAAAAACATAACCTCTGATACCTCATTTTTTTTCGATACACAAAAAATGAACTGGAAGGTTAACTTGTATGTGAAAGTTGTCTGGTATCCAAAACTTCCATTTTGGATATAACAGAATAGCAGAAATGTTCTTTATATAATAGTGTCAAGATGTATATAACAAAGGAACTTGTTTCTAAATATTTGGTTAGGAAAAGAATTCATAGCAAGAATAACTTACTATATATTTCTGAATCTCTTGAAAAGAACATATTTTAAGGTATTTAGAAATAATCTTTCCAGGTGAAGTATGAAAGGAAATTAAAACAAAAATCTTGCTTTTACAGTATTCATTTAAAAACTCAAATCTTTTAGGTATGGAAGAAAACTAACTGTGACAATAGAAAACTTCCGTACAAATTACAAAACTGTTTAATTCAAACCACCACTCACAATTGTACAGCAACTATTGTAGAGGAGATTTCTTGCTCATCAATCAGCTATTGTGTAAGCAGTATGTAATCTTTCCTATGACTACAGCACTAATGCATTACTAGTACTGCTTTCCTATGATTCCAACAAATACAAACAATGGCATCTCTTTTGGTTTGAACGCAGCAGCTGTATCCTGGCGACAGGTGCTAGTAGTGATCATTGAGGTAAAAGTAAGACACTGTTATGAAGGTAGAGTTTGATCCTAAGAAAGATAACGGATGACTTTGTGTCAAGATCTTTGCCTTCTATATTATGAATGTTTTCATTTGGTTTATTTTAATGTTTATTTCATCATTTGAGAAGTCAAATAGGCGATGCACATCAGAATCACCTGAGGAGCTTCTTCCAAAATGCCTTTGTTTGGACTCTGCCCCAGACCTACTGAATGAAAACTTCTAGAGGTGAATAGGACTCAGGCATAGATACTTTCAAAATGCTGTCTAGGTGATTCTGATGTGAACCTTTAAGGACCACTGTTCTAAAGGTCTCAGAATTATCAGGCTGAATTACATATAATTCATTATATATAAACAGATAATAATAAAGCACAGTGATTTTTAGTCCTTTCCTCTGTTTAACCTAATGGTTAAAAAGGCAAGGCATAGTTTTCCATTGGCTGTCTATAACCCTATTCCTTATTCTATCACTATAGAACAAGTAAATCATTCAAAATTGCAATAGGGCCAGGTGCGGCGGCTCACACCTGTAATCCCAGCACTTTGGAAGGCTGAGATAGGTGGATCACTTGAGGTCAGGAGTTGGAGACCAGCCTGGCCAACATGGTGAAACCCTGTCTCTACTAAAAATACAAAAAATTAGCTGGGCATGGTGGCTCGTGCCCGTAATCCCTTCTACTTGGGAGGCTGAGGCGGGAGAATCACTTGAACCTGGGAGCTGGAGGTTGCAGTGAGCTGAGATGGCGCCACTGCACTCCAGCCCAGACAGAGCAAGACTCCATCTCAAAAACAAAAACAAAATTGCAGGCCGGGCGCAGTGGCTCACGCCTGTAATTCCAGCACTTTGGGAGGCCGAGGCGGGTGAATCACGAGGTCAGGAGATCGAGACCATCTAACACGGTGAAACCCCATCTCTACTAAAAGTACAAAAAATTAGCCGGGTGTGGTGGCACGCGCCTATAGTCCCAGCTACTTGGGAGGCTGAGGCAGGAGAATGGCGTGAACCCGGGAGGCGGAGCTTGCAGTGAGCCGAGATTGCGCCACTGCACTCCAGCCTGGGAGACAGAGTGAGACTCCGTCTCAAAAAAACCAAAACAAAACAGAACAAGAAAAAGATATAATGAAAATGAATAAAATAATTCAAAAAGTCCTCCAAGCGTGTGTATACATTAAATAAAGTTAGGAACTTTATACCAGTAAGCAGATAGGAAATAAGTAGAGGTGAAATTCCATTTATATTAATAACAAAAACTATAAATAGAAATGAAATTAACATAAAATTTATAGGACTTCATAATTTATAAAACAACTATAAAACTTGACAGAAAGGGGGAAATATGAGTAAGGAATCATATCTGTTACATGAAGACTCGACATTGCAAAAGTATAAATTCTTTCTAATGTATAAATATAAATGCAATGTCAGTCAGCATTTTAAAGTTTATATAAAAGAACAAACATGCAAGACTAGCCAAGATTTTGAAAAATAAGAGCAATGAGGACAATGTCCCATATCAAACTTTAAAATGTATTGTTGAAGTATAGAGATTGATCCTAGAACAGACAGATGAACAGAAGTTTTAAAAATCCAAAGACAGACTCCGATGTATGTAAGACTTTAGAGAATGGTGAAGGTGTTATTTAAAATCAAGGGGAAAAGGATAGTTACTAGATAATAATGAGAGACAACTGGCTGTTTGGGTAGGTTACATACATTTCCCTAGAATAAATTTTAGATGGAGTAATGCTTTAGATGTTAAAATTGAAGCTGTGAATGTAGTATTGGAAAATATACATGAA
This sequence comes from Homo sapiens, assembly GCF_000001405.40. Taxonomy (NCBI): domain Eukaryota; kingdom Metazoa; phylum Chordata; class Mammalia; order Primates; family Hominidae; genus Homo; species Homo sapiens. The sequence goes on along the minus strand of NC_000003.12, from coordinate 195,419,648 downwards.
AATGTATGCTAGCTTGGGACCAGGACAGTCTGTCTAAGCATGACACCAAAGACAAATGCCTTGAAATAGATTTTACTATATAAAAATATTACCCCTCCCCCTGGCTGGTCTGAAGGTAGTCAGTGATCTCAGTTGATTGTTCAGTCAGTTACAGATTGATCTCCTTGTTCTGCTCCTTCCCCTCTTCTCACTACTGCATTTAACTAGTCTTAAAGAAAAAATTTCTTCTCCCCCAGTAAGTGAAAGATAGGAAAATATTTGAAAAAAAGTGAAATAACTTTCAAATCCTATGTATTTGGAGAGCACGGAAAAATGTCCTGCAATTCCAGTTGAATGAAATGTTGCATATAGGCCGATCTACCCAGACAGAAAGTCGATTAATGGTTGCCTAGGGCTGGGCGCAGGGAAAGAGGTAATGGGAAGTGACTGCTAATGGGTATGGGATTTCTTTTTGGGATGATGAAATGTTCTAAAATTAGACTGGGGTGATGGGTGCACAACTCTGAGTATATTAAAAACTATTGAATTGTACACTTCAAATGGGTATGGTATTTGAATTTTGTCTCGATAAGGCAGCTAAACATTTTTTTATGCTGATACTACCTCAGTAGAAAATGGGCTAATATCATAAAAAAAGGAAATTGAAGCAAAGAAACAGAATAGAAAACAATACAGTCTCTTGCAAGCATCTCCATGTTATTATATAGTGTCTCAATATTTTTGAATAGCCCCATATATAATATTTAGGGTGTGGTAGTCACTACAAAACACTTATGTAGGACAGTGTTTTTATCTGGACTTATTGTTTATCTCTTTAATAGTTAAGCAACTATTATAAACAATCTTGAAGCTGCGTTTTAAGGCAGACCGAGCAAGGACCTGAAACAAGTTAATGGCAAATTGATAGAGCAGTTACTTGGCCTGGGTGCGGTGGCTCATGCCTGTAATCCCAGCACTTGGGGACGCCGTGGTGGGAGGATTGCTTGAGGCCAGGTGTTTGAGACCAGACTGGGCAACATAGCCTGACCTGTTTCTACAAAAATTGAAAAGTTAGCTGGGTGTGGAGGCGTGTGTCTGTAGTCCCAGCTACCTGAGAGGCTGAAGCATGAGGTTGGAGAATTACTTGAGCCTTGGAGTTTGAGGCTGCAGTGAGCTGTGATGGTACCACCGCACCCCTGCCCTGGCAAGAACAACAAAACAGCAGTTTCTTCCTTTTTGAAGGAAATTCTACCTTTTAATCCTTTGAGCTAGGTTTTGCAGCTTTAATGGTGAGCAAGACTCCTGTCTCTGCCCTCATGTAGCTTGTCATATTGGGATTATTGAAAAGCAGATGGACACTTAAATTACAGTGTAAGTGATATAATTTAAGTGAATCCTGGGAACTGTGGGAGAGGATGAGAAAGACCTCTGTCTTGCATAGGAAAGGAAAGCTTCTTAAGGTAAGGAATATTTAAATTGACAGGTGAAAGACGAATTTGGAATTACCAACGTGAAGTACAGTTTAAGAAGAGAAGAGGGCTTCTGGCAGAGAGAACTGTAAGTCCAAAGGCCCAAATGCAGGAAAAGTATAGGATGTGGAAGACGGAGGCGTTTTAAATAAGGGTCAGATCATGGGCCTTTTGAGTCACATTAAGGACTGTAACCTGAGGATAGTGGAGTGCCATAGAAAAATATTAAGTAGTAGGTGATACTATCTTTTTTTTTTTTTGAGACAGGATCTCCCTCTGTCACCCAGGCTGGGGTGTGATTGTGGCTCACTGCAACCTTGAACTCCAAGACTCAAGCGATCCTCCCACCTTAGCCTCCTCAATAGCTGGGACTACAGGTGCATACCACCATGCCTGGCTAATTTTTAAAATTTTTTGTAGAGATGGAGTTTCTGTATGTTGCCCAGGCTGGCCTTGAACTCCTGGGCTCAGGTAATCCTCCTACCTTGGCCTCCCAAAGTGCTAGGATTACAGGTGTGAGCCACTGTACCCAGCTGTTGACAGTTTCTTGATCATATTTATGCTTCTTAAAGAACATGGTACTTGCAGTGTGTCGACGTCATTAACTTCATTGGGGCAAGAGAGTCCTTTAGAAGGTGGTTGCTATAATCCAGGTGAGAAGAAATGATGGTCCGCTTTTGGTAGTTAGTGGAGATAAGAGTGAGATAGCATCAAGGTATTTAGGAGGTAGAATGATAATAGGACATTGTGATTGCTTGGATATGGGGCATGAGGAAGAAGGAATTCAGGATGATGTCTAGATTTATGTCTTGAGCAACTGTGAATGGTGTTGCTGCTCACAGAGAGAACAACAGATTTTTGGAGAATTTGATGCCCGTTTTTGAGTTATGCATGGTACATTCAGGTAGAGATGTTCATTAGGCAGTCTGAAAGCTCTGAGAGAGATCTAGGTTGGAGATAAAGATTTGAGGCCAGGTGTGGTGGCTCATGCCTGTAATGTCAGCACTTTGGGAGGCTAAGGCGGGAGGACTGCTCGAGGCCAGGAGTTCACAACCAGCTAGGGCAACAATGGGAGACCCACTCACTGCAAAAAGTAAAAAAAAAAAAAAAAAAAAAAAAAAATTAGCCAGGCATTGTGATGCCCAGCTGTAGTCCCAGGTATTCAGGCGGCTGAGGCAGGATTGCTTGAGCACAGGAGTTGAGGCTGCAGTGAGTCATTATTGTGTCACTGTATTTCAGCATGGGTGACAGAGACCCTGTCTCTTAAAAAAAAAAGACTTGAGATCTTGATATTTATGGTCTTGAAGGCAAATTGGTTTTTACAAGTGAGGATAATTTCTTTTACATTTTAAGATAGATACATATTAAACTTAAGTTGAAAGAGCTGCTCTTTTGTTGGACGTGTTCTTCTAGTGTTGTGAGATTCAACCAAATTGACACATTCCTTTAGTTTTATTTTCAAAGTTTTTGTGCTACTTGGAAATTCATTATAAGAAAATACTTCATTGCAGTTATCCATTGTCTTCTGGATATTCATTTCCTATTTTTCTTTGTGAAAAATGAACACTGTGTTCATAGTGTTAATATGACATTTCCATGTATCTTTGTGCACATGTGAGAGCTAGGGAGTGAACTACCAAGTTGAAGGGTATGTGCCAAATGCTTTCTAAAGGTGTTATATCAGTATACACTCCTACAAGCTATATAGGAGATGGTGTATGTTTCATATCCTCTCCTATGTTTTGTATGGCCAGATTTTAAAACTTTTGCTAATCTGATGGATGTGAAATGGTATTTCGTGATTTTAAATTTGTGTTTCTTAACCGATGGTGATGTTGAGGATTTTTTTTTTTTTTTTGACGGCGTCTTGCTCTGTCACCAGGCCAGAGTGCAATAGCGCAGTCTTGGCTCACTGCAGCCTCCGCCTCCTGGGTTCAAGCGATTCTCCTGCCTCAGCCTCCCAAGTAGCTGGGACTACAGGCATGTGCCACCATGCCGGCTAACTTTTTGTATTTTTAGTAGAGACAGGGTTTCACCGTGTTAGCCAGGGCGGTCTCGAACTCCTTACCTCATGATCCTCCCACCTCGGCCTCCCAAAGTGCTGGGATTACAGGCGTGAGCCACCACGCCCATCTGACATTGAGCATCTTTTCATGTTAATTGTTCATTCATATTTCCTCTTCTATAAGTTGCCTATTTATATTTTCTTCTTATTTTTCTATTGGCCTGTTTGTCCATTTCTTTTTGATTTGTAGAATTTGTAGATAGTCTAATCCTTTGTTAATAAAAATCACACCTCCCAATCTGTGGGTTGTATTCACCTTTTTAGCGTTTTTTTCATCCTAAAATTTCACCTTCTATGACTTGAAATTTTAAAAAATTTACTGACTCATAAAAATACATTTATCATTTTGCATATATATTTTATTTTTTCTAAATAAAGTTTTTATCTTTTGCACATACAAAAATTTATCAAATCAGTGGTATGCAATAAAGTCATATATCTGAAAATATTTAAAAATAAATGATACAAGTGTCAGTAAGTGGTTTATCTGGTATCTCTTTAATAAAAAGAACTTACCTTTTTTGGCTGAAGACAATATTTACTTTTTTAAAAAATGGACTTGGCTGGGCATGGTGGCTCAGGCCTGTAATCCCAGCACTTTGGGAGGCCGAGGCCAGCAAATCACGAGGTCAAGAGATCGAGACCAGCCTGGCCAACATGGTGAAATCCCGTCTCTACTAAAAATGCAAAAATTAGCTGGGCATGGTGGTGCACGCCCGTAGTCCCAGTTACTCGGGAGGCTGAGGCAGGAGAATCTCTTGAACGTGGGAGGCGGAGGTTGCAGTGAGCCATTGCAGCACTGCACTTCCAGCCTGGCAACAGAGCAAGACTCCATCTCAAAAAAAAAAAAAAAGACTTTTTTAGAGCTGCTTTAGTTTCACAGCAAAATTGAGCAGAAAGTACAGAGAATTATTATATTCTCTGCTCTGACACATAGAACCTTCCCCACTATCAACATCCTGTACCAGAATGATACATTTGTTACAAGCATTGAGCCTACATTGATACATTATTATCACCCAAAGTCCATGGTTTCCATTAACGTTCATTCTTGATGTTTAGATAAATGTATAATGACATGTAGCTACCATTATAGGATCATGCAGTTAGTTTCGCTGCCTTAAAATTCTCTGGGCTTTACTGATTCATCCCTCCCTTTACCCCAACTCCCAGCAGCTACTGATATTTTTACTGTCTCCATAGTTTTTGTCTTTTTTTAGAATGTCATGTTGTTGAAATACAGTGTATAGCTTTTAAAGATTGGCGTCTTTTACTTAGTACAGGTTAAGTATCCTTTATCTGAAATGCTTGGGAGCACAGGTGTTTTGGGTTTCAGATTTTTTTGATTCTGGAATATTTGGATTATACTGGTTAAGCATCTCTAATCCATGAATTCAAAATCTGAAATACTCTAGTGATCATTTTCTTTGAGTGTCATGTGGTTGCTCAAAAAGTCTCAGATTTTGTAGCATTTTGTGTTTTCTATTTTTGATTTAGGGATGCTCAACCTGTAATGTAAGGTTTTTCCATTTCTTTTTAGTGCTGAATGATACTCTGTTGTCTGGATGTACACACCTTATCCATTCACCTAGTGAAAGACATCTTGGTTGCTTCCAAAGCTGGTGTAACATCCCTGTACAGGTTTTTGTGTGGATATGTTTTCAGCTTATTTGGGTGAATACCAAGGAGAGTGATTGCTGGATAGTGTGGCAAGAATGTATTTCGTAGGCTGGGTATGGCAGCTCATACCTATAATCCCAGCACTTTGGGAGGCTGAGGCAGGAGGATCACATTAACTCAGGAGTTCGAGACCATCCTGCACAACATAGTAAGATCCCATCTCTTTAGAAAATAAAAAGTATGTATTTCTTTTTTAAAGAAACTGCTTAACTGTCTTCCAAAATGGCTGTGCAATTTTTCTTTCCCATCAGCAAAGAATGAGAGTTCCTTTTGCTGAACATCCTCACCAGTATTTGGTGTTGTCCATGTTCTAGATTTTGATCATTCTAATAGGTGTGTAGTGGTTTCTCCTTGTTTAATCTGCAATTCTCTAACGACATATTATGTGGAGTATCTTTTCACCTATTTATTTGCCATCTGTGTTTCTCCTCCTCTTTTCTTTCTTTTTTTCTTTTTCTTTCTTTTTTTTTCTTTTTTTAAAGAGACAGGGTCTCATTCTGTTGCCCAGGCTGCAGCGTAGTGATACAGTCATAGCTCATTGCAGCCTCAAACTCCTGGGCTCAAGTTATCTTCTTGCCTCAGCTTCCAGAGTAGCTGGGACTACAGGCGTGCACCATCACGCCTGGCTTGTCTGTGTATTTTCTTTACTAAGGTGTCTGCTCAGGTCTTTTGCCCAGTGGGTTTCTTTGTTTGTTTTTGTTTTGAGAGACAGAGAGCCTCACTCTGTTGCCCAGGCTGGAGTGCAGTGGTGCGATCTTGGCTCACTGTAGCCTCCGCCTCCTGGGTTCAAGCGATTCTCCGTGCCTCAGCCTCCTGAGTACCTGGGATTGCAGGTGCACCACCACACCCGCCTAATTTTTTGTATTTTTCGTAGAGACAGGGTTTCGCAATGTTGGACAGGCTGGTCTCAAACTCCTGACCTCAAGTGATATGCCCGCCTCAGCCTCTCAAAGTGCTGTCATTATAGTCATGAGCCATCGTGTCCGGCCCCCTTTTGCTCAGTTTTTATTTGGGTTGTATGTTTTATTGTTGAGTTTTAAGAGTTCTTTGTATATTTTGGGTAACAGTTCTTTATCAGAAATATACATATAATTTTTTTTGGTAAATATTTTCAGTCTGTGGCTTCTCATTGCCTTAAGCAATATTTACTTTAAAATAAATGTGAGACAGTTTTGTCTGTTGACTATACTTTTCTAATGAACTGATGAATGTTGTGACATAAGAAATTAGACTGTGGTGTACCTCAACCAAAGAAAATACGGCAATAGCAATACAATTTTAAATAAGCAAAGACTTTCAACCAAAACTACTTACAAAAGGAACAAAGTTTAAATGCCTTAAGGTCTAAATTTAACTGTGGAATATGACAAAAATCACATTAACTGTTCAACCATGAATATTTTAATTTTTCTTAAATATTTAAAATGGAATCTTCTGTTACTCTGTGTCCTCTTATCCTGCTTTTCTTAAAAGCACTTGTAATACCTTACATGTATACATATTTCATATCTGTTTACTAATTGTGTTTCCTTCACTTAGATGCCGTGAGAGCAGGGGCTTGTTTTACCGCTTGCTGTTTCCTAAGTCTCTAGTACAGTGCGTGACATCCAGTAAGTGCTCAAGGAATTTTTTATGAGGAAACAAAAAACACAACTTATACTCTACTATTTAAGTTATTTTTTAAATTACTACTTATTTCAAAGGCAGTTACGGTTTTAATTTGTTATCTTCAAGACTGATTTTACAAAGACTTCTTGTAGCTCAAAAGGGCTTAAAATCTCTCCTTATTACTAACTACTGCTTCAAATTTCACATTTCATAATCTTATTTTTTATTTTATTTTTTGAGGTAGAGTCTTGCTCTGTCACCCAGGCTGGAGTGCAGTGTGCCATCTCAGCTCATTGCAACCTCCGCCTCCCGGGTTCAAGCGCTTCTCCTGCCTCAGCCTCCTGAGTAGCTGGGACTACAGGCACCTGCCACCACGCCCAGCCGATTTTTGTATTTTTATTTTATTTTATTTAACTTTTTTTTTTTTAATAGTAGAGATGGGGTTTCACCATGTTGGCCAGGCTGGTCTCGAACTCCTGACCTCAAGATCTGCCCACCTTGGCCTCTGAAAGTGCTGGGATTACAGGTGTGAGCCATCACACCCTGCTCACATTTGATAATCTGAGCAACAAATTATGCCACCTAACAGAGTATAGTATAAGCCAATTCTTCTTCTTTATTTATTTTTTGCAATTTACTCATGTAACAAGCCAATTCTTTTTTTTTTTTTTTTTTTTTTTTTTGAGACAGGGTCTCACTCTGTGACCCAGGCTGGTCTTGAACTGGAACTCCTGGCTTCAAGCAATCCTCCTTTCTTGGCTTCCTAAAGTGCTGGGATCATAGGCATGAGCCACTGCACCCAGCCCCCAATTCTTATTTTTAGCCAAGTGTAGATTCTTAAGCATTTTGCTGGCAGGTCTGTGTGGTAAGTGATGATATAATCCTTTACCATTATCAAGATCCAGCTTAAAAACAATTTGTTTTTGACATTCATTGTGAGTTTTTTTTTTTTTTCCTTATTACTAAATAGAGACAGGGTCTTGCTTTGTTGTCCAGGCTAGTCTCAAACTCCTGCCTTCAAGAGATCTTCCTGCCTTGACCTCCCAAAGTGCTGGGATTACAGGCATGAGCCACCACTCCTGGCCTTACAGTGTGAGTTTTAATGCTGCATATTTATTTTATTTTGTTAATTATCTGTAAGTCTCTCCGTGGTTTGATCTAGAAATTTATTCATTTGGAATTGGCCTGTACTAGGAATATGCCAGTTAGAGGAAAAATATTGTAGATTACCAAGGAAATAGCTAAATAAAATGTGTGCCTTTTGATGTGAAAATTGTTTCAATGTATTTTTTCTTCCAATTTAAAAAATTGTGTTTAAATACACATAACATAAAACTTATCGTCTTGACCATTTTTTAAGTATACAGCTCAGTGGTATTAAGTACATTCATATTAGGTAAAAGGATGCGTATTCTATTATATGCACACGTCATGTTGTGCTTATCCATTTTTCTGTTGGTGGACACTTGAATTGCTTTCACGTTTTATCTATTGTGAATAATGCGGCTGTGAACATGGGTATACAAATATTTCTTCGGTACTCAGTTTTCAGGTTTTTTGAGTATATACTCAGAAGTGGAATAGCTAGATCACATGGTAATTCTGTTTTAATTTTTTGAAGTGTTGCCATAGTACTTTCCACAATAGTGGTACCATTTTACATTCCCACCAACAGTGCGGAAGGGATCCAGTGACTCCACGTCCTCATTGACACTTGTTATGTTTTTTTTAGTAGCCATCCTAATGGGTGTGAGATGGCTTCTTAGTCTGTTCCTGCATCGATGGCAGAATAGCACTGACTAGATAATTTATAAATAATACACATTTATTTCTCACAGTTCTGGAGCTGGGAAGTCCAAGATAAAGATGCCAGCAGATTAGTGTCTGGTGAGGGCCAGCTATCTCTGCTTTCAAGATGGCACCTTGTTGATGTGTCCTCAATGGCAGAAGGTGGAAGGGCAAAAAAGGGACCATTAGGACCCTTTCTTCAGCCTCTTTTATAAGAGCACTAATCCATTCATGAAGGCGGAGCCCTCATGTCTTCATCACTTCCCCAAAGGCCCCACCTCTTCATACTGTGACAATGGAGATCAAGTTTCAACATGAATTTTGGAGAGACACAAACATTCAAACCATAGCAGGTAGTATCTTGTAGTTTTGATTTGTGTTTCCCTAATGATTAGTGATGTTGACCTTCTTTTCATGTGCTGATTGGCCAGTCGTATATCGTCTGTGGAGAAACGTCTATTCAGATCCTTTGCCCATTCTTGTATCATGTTGTTTGTGTCTTTGTTGTTGAGTTTTAGGAGTTCTCTGTGTAATCTGGATATTAATCCCTTACCAGATGATTTGCAAGTATTTTCTCCCATTCTGTGGATGGATTTTTTACTCTGTGTCTTTTGATACACAAAATTTTTCAGTTTTATGAAGTGCAGTTTGTCTGTTGTCTTTTGTTGCCTGTGCTTTTGGTATCATATCCAAGAAATTACCAAATTCAGTGTCATAAAGCTTTTAATCTACGTTTTCTTCTAAGAGTTTTATAGTTTTAGATCTTAACATTTCAGTCATGGATCTCTTTTGAGTTAATTTTTGTATGTGGTGTTAGGTAAGGGTCTTCATTCTTTTGCATGTGGATATCCAGTTTTACAAGCACCATTTGTTGAAAGGACTGACTTTTCCCCATTGCATTGTAGTGATACTCTTGACAAAAATCATTTGAATATATATATGAGGGTTAATTCTGGACTGTGTTCTATTCTGGAGGTCTATATGGCTGTCTTTATGACAGTATTCGTCTGTTTGATTACTGTGGCTTTGTGGTAAGTTTTGAAATCAGAAAGTGTGAATCCTCCAGTTTTGCTTTTCTTTTTCAGGATTGTTTTGGCTATCCATTGTCCCTTGAGATTTCATATGAATTTTAGGATAGGTTTTTCTATTTCTGTTTTTTTTTTTTTTTTTTTTTTTTTTTGAGATGGAGTCTCACTCACTCTGTTACCCAGGCTGGAGTGCAGTGGCGCAATCTTGGTTCACTGCAACATCTGCCTCCCAGGTTCAAGCAATTCTCTTGCCTCAGCCTCCCGAGTAGCTGGGATTATAGGTGCCTGCCACCACACCCAGCTAATTTTTGTATTTTTTGTAAAGATGGGGTTTCACCATGTTGGCCAGGCTGGTCTTGAACTCCTGACCTCAAGTGATCCTCCCACCTCAGCCTCCCAGGGTGCTGAGATTACAGGCGTGAGCCACTGTGCCCAGCCAGGTTTTTCTATTTCTACAAAAAACATCATTGTGATTTTGACAAGAATTGCATTAAATCTGTAGAAGGCTTTGGGTAATTGACATCTTAACAATATTAAGTCTTCCAATTCATTAACATGGGATATGTTTCCATTTGTTTATTTCTTTTGTACTTTTTTTTTTCCCCCAGGAATGCCTTATAGTTTCTATTGTACAAGCCTTTCAACTTACTGGTTAAGTGATTTTCTAAGTGTTTTGACTATTTTGATGCTATTATAAATGGCATTGTTTTCTTAATTTCCTTTTCAGATTGTACATTCTTAATGTGTATAGAAATGCAACTGATTTTTGTATGTTGACTATATCCTGCTACTTTGAGGAATTCATTTATTCTAACAGGTTCCTTTGTGGAATCTTTAGGGTTTTCTACATACAAAATAAGGTCATATTGTCTGTAAACAGAAATACTTTTACTTCTTCCTTTTCAATTTGATTCCTTTTTTTTTTTTCTTTTTCTTGCCTAGCGACTCTGACTGGGACTTCCAGTGCTATGTTGAATAGAAGTGTTGAAAGCAGCATCCTTGCCTTGTTTCTAATCCTACAGGGAAGCTTTCAGTAGAGTATGATGTTCACTGTGGTTTTTTGGTATATGGCTTTTATTATGTTGAAGTAGTTTCCTTTTATTCCTTTTTGTTAAGTGTTTTTATCATGAAAAAAAGAATTTTGTCAGTATGATTTTTATGCATCAATGGAGATGATCATGGATTTTTTTCCCTTCATTCTGTTGATGTGGTATAGTACATTGTTTTTTCTTCATATGTTGAATTATTCTTGCATTCCAGGAATAAATTCTACTAGGTCATGGTGTATAATCCTTTTACTATGCTGTAGAATTCAGTTTGCTAGTCTTCTGTTGAGAATTTTTGCATCAGTGTTCATAAGGGATATTGTTCCATAGTTTTCTTTTCCAGTAGTGTCTGGCTTTGGTATCAGGGTAATGCTGGCATCATAAAATGAGTTTGGAAGTTTTCTTCCTCTTCACTTTTTTGGAAAAGTCTGAGAAGGGTTGGTGTAAGTTCGTCTTTAAATGCTTGGTAGAATTTGCCAGTGAAGCCATTAGGTCTAGGACTTAATTTTTTTTTCTTTTTTTGAGACAGGATCTCACTCTGTCACCCAGGCTGGAGTCCAGTGGCATAATCTCTACTCACTGCAACTTCTGCTTTTCGGGCTCAAGTGATTTTTGTGCCTCAGCCTCCCGTGTAGCTGTGACTACAGGTGTGAGCCACCAATGCCCGGCTAATTTTTGTACCTCCTGTAGAGACAGGGTTTCGCCGTGTTGCCCAGACTGGTCTGGAACTTCTGAGCTGAAAGCAGACCGCCTGCCTTGGGCTCCCAAAGTGCTGGGATTACAGGCATGAGCCACTATGCCTGGCCTGTTTTGGAGATTTTCGATGACAGATTCAATCTTTTTACTAGTTATAAGTCTATTCAGATTTTCTCTTTCTTTATGAGAAAAGACTAAAGTCTTGATAAGTTGTGTTTCTAGGAATTTTGCATTTCACCTAGCTTGTCCGGTTTGTTGGCATATACTTGCTCATAGTACTCTCTTATAATCTTATTTCTCTGGAATTGGTAATAATGTCCCCATTTTCACTTCTGACTTTAGTAATTTGAGTCTTCTTTTTAAAAAAAATTCTGTAGAGCTAAAGGTTTGTCATTTTGTTGGTATTTCAAAGAACGAGTTTTTGGTTTCATTGACTTTTCTCTGTCGTTTTTCTACTTTCTGTTTCTTTTATATTTGCTGTAATCTTTCTTTCCACCTGCTAGCTTTGGTTTTGGTTTCATCTTCTCTTTCTGGTTCCTTAAGTCATAAAGTTAGGTTATTGATCTCTGAGATCTATCTTTCTTTTTTCTTTTGAGACGGAGTCTTACTCTGTTGCCCAGGCAGGAGTGCAGTGGCATCATCTCATCTCACTGCAATGTCTACCTTCAGGCTCCAGTGATCCAGCCTCCCAGGTAGCTGGGGCTATAGGCATGCACCACCATGCCCGGCTAATTTTTGTATTTTTTGTAGAGATTGGGTTCTGTCATGTTGCCCAGGCTTGTCTCAAACTTCTGAGCTTAAGTGATCTGCTTGCCTTGGCTCCTCAAAGTGTTGGGACTACAGGTGTGAGCCACTGTGCCCAGGACTTTCTTGTTTTTTAATGTGAGCATTTATAACTATATTTTTAATGTATTTTTTCCTTTTTTTAATTTAAAAAATAACTCAAACTTTTTTTGTGAAGATGGAGGCTTGCTGTGTTGCCCAGGCTGGTCTCAAACTCTTGGGCTCAAACAATCCTCCCACCTCAGTTTCCCAAAGTGCTGGGATTATAGACATGGAGCTACCACCCGTGGCTTTTTTTTTTTTTTTAAACTAAAAATGTTCTTTCTATAAGTTTAGTTTCAAAATTTTATTTCCATTCACTAATAAGAATTATTTAACTGCATTTTTTTATATTGCATGTACAGATATTTAAATTTTTATGAAGTGAAAATGTCCTTTTTTTGCCTGTCTGCCTTCCTTCCTCTCTCTCTCATAGGATCCTTTTATAAGGTGGGTCATTAAAGACATATTTAAATATGTTACATGACAAGATTTAAGCTATAGGACAGATAATATTTAAGCATTTAAGCCAATCTATCTGTCTGCAAAAATTTTAGTAGTTTACATTTCTTTCTCCTTGAATTCTGTCAGACACAACATATTTTGAATTTGTAGCGTGTCTTAGTTTATACTTCCTTGGAAGTGTATACTTACGAGTTTTATGAAGGTAAGTTCATGACTAACTGTCAAAGCTGTCAGCAGACTTACTCAAATCCAATCAATGTAAAGTGGTAAAATCTAGGGCCAAGAATAAAGGCATATGAAATATTTACTCAAAATACAAACTATCTGGAACAAAAGGGGAACTGAGTGTTTGATCAAACCTGTAGCTTAGAAGAAAGAAAAGAAGGCTTACCCCTGTAAACTCAACACTTTGGGAGGTCAGGGTGGGAGGATCACTTGAGGCCGGGATTTTTAGTTCTCTCAATCTGGTGTCTTGGGATGAATAGTTTTCTGTTATTTAGATGGTAATATTAGGTACCACCAGGAATGTGCAACTATGATGCTGTAGAAATCAACAGGTGTTTTAATGAGTATCCACTGTATCTGTAGTCCTTTCCTAGCCATGGTAAATCAGTGGATTATATCTAGTGATAAACTATAGAATATAAATAAATGCCCAGCCTGAGTACACATGACTGAAGTTTTACAGTCTATCACTTAAATTACACAATCTCCTTTAGACTATGAGGATATTTAAATAAGAGGGTGAGGACTTATTGATAGAAAATAAATTTTGAAGTATAAAGATTCTTGACTCTTGATTCTTGATGTGATTGCATTAAGGTTAATGTAGCTAGATTGATTATTCAAGCAGAGGTAACCCAGTTTTCCATTTATGTTTATTGCTGAAAGACAAGACTGCTAAATTTGTAGGACAGAATGTATAATCCACCTGATATGGTTTGGTTCTGTGTCCCCGCCCAAATCTCATGTTAAATTGTAATCCCCATTGCTGGAGGTAAGCCTGGTGTGGGGGTGATTGGATCATGGGGGCAGTTTCTCATGAATGGTTTACCATCATGCTCTTGGTGCTGTTCTTGTGATGAAGTTCTCACAAGATCTGTTTGTTTAAGAATGTGTAACTCCTCCCCCTGCCCCTGGCTCCTGCTCTGGCCATGTAAGATGCATTTGCTTCCCCTTTGCCTTCTGCCGTGATTTGGTTTCCTGAGGCCTTCCTGAAGCCACTATCATGCTTCCTATACAGCCTGCAGAACCATGAGCCAATTAAACCTCTTTTCTTTATAAATTACCCAGTCTCAGATACTTTTTTTTTTTTTTGAGATGGAGTCTCACTCTGTTGCCTAGGCTGGAGTGCAGTGGTGCAATCTCAGCTCACTGCAACCTCCGCCTCCTGGGTTCAAGCAATTCTCCTGCCTCAGCCTCCTGAGTAGCTGGGATTACAGGTGTGCGCCACCACACCCAGCTAATTTTTGTATTTTTAATAGAGATGGGGGTTTCACCACGTTGATCAGGCTGGTCTCGAACTCCTGACCTCGTGATCTGCCCACCTTGGCCTCTCAAAGTGCTGGGATTACCGGCGTGAGCCACCGTACCAGACCTCAGGTGTTTCTTTATAGCAATGAAAGAACAGACCAATACATCATCCTTAACAGTTGATGAAATTAATTGGAAGTGATTGGGCTTGTATATGTGTTCCTTTAATTTTGAGAGTTCATCAGCAAAGGGTAACAGTAACCATAGCCATACAAAATGAACCATAGAGTTGGATTGCAATCAATCCTAATTTTATAGAAAGACAAGAAAGCACAGATCTCGATCTGTCCGTACCTTGTCTCATGGAGAGTGAGAGCTAGATTAGCAGTCCTTGTATTTGTAGGAGTTAGACTGTGTTTAAGCGGCAATAGGCTGGTTGCGGTGGCTCATGCCTATAATCCCAGCACTTTGGGAGGCTGGGGCGGGCGGATCACTTGAGATCAGGAGTTCGAGACCAGCCTGGACAACATGGTGAAAGCCGTCTCTACTAAAAGTAGAAAAAAAAGTAGCCGGGTGTTGTGGTGCTCATCTGTAATCCCAGCTACTCAGGAGGCTGAGGCAGGAGAATCGCTTGAACCTGGGAAGCAGAGGTTGCAGTGAGCTGAGATTGTGCCATTGCACTCCAGCCTGGGCGACAGAGCAAGACTCTGTCTCCAAAAAAAAAAAAGAAAAAATTATATATTATAATTATATAATTATATTTATATTATATAAATACGTATGTGTGTATATATAAATACATATGTGCGTGTGTGTATATAAACTATATATGTGTGTATGTATATAAATATATATGTGTGTGTGTGTGTATATATGGCAATATAACTTTTGCCTCAGCCTTCTGAGAAAGAAAATGAAGATTTCTTTTTCATCCAATGAATTACATTTAGCTTCGCGGAATGGGTTGAGAATGGAAAGGGGAGGCAGGGAATCTGGTTACTTACCTTTCTTCCTGAATGTTACAACTCATTTTCAGGGTATCTAGTTGGGAACATTTTTATTCTCATGTGCTGCCTATAATTCAATAATTTTATATTTCTGGGATATTTAAAAATATTTTATCTCTTCCTTAGAAGCACATTTTTGGTTCATCAAAAATATCAGGCCAGAAGTGTTTTTCAACATTTCTAAAATTGTTTTCAGCCATTTTAATTTGACTTAAACCTGATGTTAATTCTTAGTCCTCTTGTTTGACCTGTCGGCAGCTTTTGACATACTTGATTACTCCTTCTTCCTTGATAACACTTTTTTCACTTCCCTTCTCTATGACACCCTCTTGGTTTTCTTCTTATTTTATGTGTGTATGTATGTATGTTGCCTAGGCTGGTCTTGAACTCCTGGGCTCAAGTGATTCTTGTGCCTCAGCCTTCCAAAGAGCTGGGATTATAGGAATGAGCCACCGTGCGGGGCCTGGTTTTCTTCTTATGTCATCAGTTGCTGCTTCTCAGATTCTTTTCCTCATTCCTTTTGTTCTTCTGACCTTTAATGTCAAAATGCCCCAAAGCTTAAGTCATCTCTATCTTTACTTTTTATTTTAATAATGTCCAGTCTAATGGCTGCCGATACTATCTATGTGCTCTTGATTACTAAACTTATACCTCCAACTCAGACTTCTCTCCTAAACTCTAGACTCAGGTGCATCCACCTATTTGAAGTCATCACTTGTATATCTAGTAGATATTTTGGAGTCAAATCCAAAACTGAACTCTAGATCTTCTTTCCCTAAATCTGTTCCGCCTGTAGTCTTGCCCATCTCCGTTGATTGTAACTATTTTTCTTTTTGCTCCAGCCTGAAACTTTGAAATTATACTTGATTACACATTTACCTGTACCTGGTGTACGCATGCATATGCTTGCATATCACATCTAATTCATCAAGAAATCCTCTTGGTTCTACATACAAAATATATCCAGAATCTTAGCATTTCTCAGCACTGATTGGTGCTTACCTTGAGCCATCTTCATCTTTCATCTGGATGACTGCTGTAGCCTCCTTACTAGTCTCTTTGCTTCTTCCTCTTTTGTTTCTTTGCAGTCTTCTCCACGTAGCAGCCAGAATGAGTCTTGACAAAATACTTTACAGCATGGTTCTTCTCTGGTGCAGACCTTTCAGTGGTTACCTGGTATAGCTGCTGTTATCGTTGCTATGGGCCTACAAGGTTCTGAATGTGATGGGACTCTCCATTAGTATTCTGACTTCTTCCGCAGCTCTCTCCCTTTCTGGTTCTGTTTCGGCCGTACAGGCCTCCTTGCTATTGAACGTTCCAGGAATGTTGCATTGGTGGCTTTTTCTGCCTGTTAACACCCTTGTCTGCATGGTTCACTGTGTTACTTCAGGTCTTTGGTCAAATGTCACTTTCTCAGTGAGGACTATTTTGATCAATTTTAAATAGTAAAACTGTAGCCGTCCCTCTCTCCCCTTATTTCACTTTCCTTTTTTCCCATGGTACTTACCACCTTATCGCATACCATCCAATTGACTTATTGATGATGTTTACTGTTTATAGCTTGTCTTCCCCTTCAGAATGTAAGCTCTAGGATGGTAAGGATCATTGTTTATTTTCTTCTTATATTCCAAACAATAGACATTTGCTGCCGTTTGTTGTTAAAGAAAAGGGAAATTTTTTCATTTGCCAGAATTTTTCTAGGAATGGTGTTTTTTAAAAAACAAATTTTAAGTTGCTGCTCTTAAACTTTTCCCTGTTTCTGATTAGTATAACTTGTTTGATTCTTTTCTTTGAGTGTCCAAGGATCCTGTCTGATCATAAATTGTATGTGTTGAAGAAATCATGATAATGTAATTTTGTGCTCGTGGTAGAGCGAATACCTCCTTAGCTCCTGTCAAATTTCTGTCAAGGCCTGTTTTAGAAGTCCAAATCTGTATTATTCTAGAAGAGTATTATAAAAATTTTCCTTTTCTGTCAACTTAAAAAGTTATATGTATAATATTGGTTACATATAGGTAAATAGGTGCGACCTTGTATGCCAAAAGAGGACTTTTTCCTTTTTTCATTATAACTTTAGTTTTAAGGTTTATGCAATTGTTTGTAGTTCTTTATTCTTTTATTTTTTTCTGGAGACTTTTATAGTATCATTTATATAAGGCTGGAGAGGGCACAGCAGATTGGAATCACAAGGCTGGAGCAAGAGGGAATTGGAAAGTTACACATAAGTACGTGTGTACTGAGATACAGGGAGATCACCATTTTGCGTGACCCCAGGCCGCAAATAACAGAGTTGTTTTAAATGCTCCATTCATCACCCATTCAACAAATGTTTACCTGGTAACTAGCTGAACTAGAGATAGCTAAATGAATCATAGTGTCTGCTTTTGAGGCCCTCAGTCTAGACATAATGACCAATAATTTAATTATCATTAGTAAATTGAATGTCAGGCGCTCTGTTTGAAGTGTGCAGAGTGCTCTGTGGAAATGGTGGTGGTGGGGTGCTCATTCTGCTGAGGAGTAGAAGGTGCTTCAGTGTTCGAAGTTTACCATCCCAGGTGGTTTATGGTGTGAAGATTGTCTTTAAAACCCTGAGCCTGTTTATTAGGCTCTTAAATTTGTATTCAGCTTCCTCTTTACAGATCTTGTCAAATTTCTGGGGCTTAATGGAGATGAAATACTGTGTAAAACGGTTTTTTAAACACAGCTGCTTTACTGTCATCTAATAGTTCTGTCATTTAGCAGTTTACTAAGTTTTCTCCCCATTCAAGATTCTGTGATTCTGGGGTTGTTGCTTATGTACTCAATGCTTTTCTCTTCATATTTCACGTTACTGTTCTGTAGTCTTCTCTCTTTGTTTTGGATACAGAGTTCACTGTCTCCCAAGCTGGAGCGCAGTGGCACAATCTCAACTCACTGCAACCTCTGCCTCCCGGGTTCAAGTGATCCTCCTGCCTCAGCAACCGGTGTAGCTGGGATTGCAGGCGTGCACCACCACGCCTGGCTAATTTTTTTGTATTTTTAGTACAGACAGGGTTTCACTGCGTTGGTCAGACTGGTCTCAAACTCCTGACCTCAAGAGATCCACCCACCTTGGCCTCCCAAAATGCTGGGATTACAGGCCTGAGCCACTGCGCCCAGCCTAGTCTTCTCTTAATATACACATGTGATATCATGCATGAAGGTGGCATGTAGATTATAAAACATAGGAAGATGTAATGCAGAATAACTTTTATTATGTATTAATAAGATGCTTGGTTGTTTATGGAGGAGTCTGGGAAAGTTATAGATGTGATTGTTGAGCAGCCTGTGGTATGTCGTGGAGAGAACCCTGCAAGGCTGAGTATTTGGTTCCCTACCTGCTGTGATTTGCAGGGTATTCTGTGCCTTCAGTACCACTTCCAATTCCTGAAAAGGATAATGGGGAACAGCCATAAAAGCAGGAATATGGCAGGTTTCTGATTATAATGTAGTTAATTAATTAGTTAATTACAGAGACGGAGTCTTGCTATGCTGCTGGGACTGGTCTGAAACTCTTGGGCTCACGCTGTCCTCCTGCTTTGGCCTCCCAAACTATTGCCAGTATTACAGGCATGAGCCACCTCGCCTGGCCTCTGATTCTAATTTTTGACAGTTTTGTCTGGAACTGTCCCTAAATATTCTTATCATCTTGCTTTGTTCTCTCATTGAGGGTCTGCTTATATCCCATCTTTGAGATACTTGGTTGTCTTTTCATTATTATCAGCCACAATGTTCTTTCTTCATGGAAATCTCCTCTGCCCCTTTTATGAATCATGAAGTTTACAATGCTGTCTTCTCCTTAGATGTATTGCCTGTGACACTCTACTAATAACAACAAACTTTAACTGCTTTGGTTGAAAATTTGATTCTAACCCTTTAAGCAGTGATAACTTAATTTTCCTGTCATGTTGAAGCCTACTACAATGATAAGAATTCTTGGAAATGGAATGATTTTGTAGAAAGTCAACTTTAAAAAGAAGAGGTTTTTTTTTTTTTTAAGGGAAAAAGAATAACTTCATATCTGATCACACTTAAAACATTACTAGTATTTCCTTGGATTAGTATTCTGTCAATAATGATTATTTGCCACTACACATGTTAAAAATGACTGTATATAGCTACTGTCTTTATGCAGAGCAAATTTGGAAGTGACTATTGAAATCATATACCTGTTAATATGAGAAGCTGAAGGCCCAGGAACAGAAGATTCTATAGACCTCTCCTCCCACCTCAAATTCTCCATGTAGGATGATTATCTGGAATATATATATATATACACACACATATATATATACACATACGTATTTTTTTGTTGTTTTTTTTTTTGAGACGGACTGTCATTCTTGTTGCCCAGGCTGGAGTGCAATGGTGCGATCTTGGCTCACCACAACCTTTGGCTCCCAGGTTCAAGCGATTCTCCTGCCTCAGCCCCCCGAGTAGCTGGGATTACAGGCATGCGCCACCATACCCGGCTAATTTTGTATTTTTAGTAGAGACAGGGTTTCATCATGTTGGTCAGGCTGCTCTCGAACTCCCAACCTCAGGTGATCCTCCCACCTCGGCCTCCCAAAGTGCTGGGATTACAGGCATGAGCCACTGCACCCGGTCCTATTATCTGGATAATATTTTAAGTTCTTCCTTTTTTTAAATTTTTTTATTTTTTAAATCATGAGCTGGGATTTAAAGGGGTTGTTGATATCTGAGTTATGACTTAAGAGTGTGATATTCATTCACCAGAGCCATACTATTTGCATCTCAACCTTGTGCTGTGATTTGGTTGCTTTTTCAATTATACTCCTCCATGGCCCCTGATGGTTTTTATTTTGGATACTGTGTATTGATGGGGGAAAATTTGAGGGGAAAAGGGTTATAGATTTTTTTTTTCGCTACTTTTTTTAAAAAAAGTTTTTTTTTTCCCCACTGGGAAGTGGCAGAGTAATGTTTACAATCTGTAAAACAGAAATATAATGGGGCTTGCTTAGAAAGATACAAACGTAGATGGAAAACAAAATTTTTTTTCTGGCCAAGTGTTATGGCTCACGCCTGTAATCCTAGTACTTTGGGAGGCTGGGATGGGAGGATTGCTTCAGGCCAGGAGTTCGAGACCAGACTGGTCAACAAGACTGGTCAGCATAATGAGATCCTGTCTCTACAAAAAATAAAATAAATCTGTTTTCCTCCAAAATATTAAGCCAAACAAAACACTTTTAAAATCCCACTATTTTCATCTATATTCATACTCCTTGTCTTTTAAGAACTATGCAGAGGAGACTTTTGAGAAGATGAATGAAACTTGTTAATATAAAATCTGGTGAGGTTTTTTTTATGGCTTAAACATTTTTTTCCTCCCTTAACTCTTTTGAAAGCAAAAGCAAGGGCCTGGAGGAAATCTTACTTAGAAGAGAAACAAATCCAGGTTCTATTAGATTGGTGCAAAAGTAATGGCAAAAACCGCAATTACTTTTGCCCCAACCCAATAGCTTTCCTTTGAATGCTTAATCCCAAATAATGGAATGTTAGGTCTTGAAGTGATAGTCAAGCTGTTTCAGAGTGAGAGAGCTGAGGTCTGGTGTGATTAAATGATTTTCTCAGGGGCTCGTATGAGTTGACAGACTAAAATATTGGTTTCCATTTCTAGTTTGTTTTTCCACTACTCCCTTTCCTATTACAGGACTGAATTTCTCATGGATCTAGCTAGGTTTGCTTAGTAGATCAATTTGAGCACGTAGGAGCAGTTACAACATTTGTAAGATAATAAATAGAGAAGAAAGACCTTTGAATTTCATCCCTTGAAACTTTTGAAAACAATGAAGGCAGAGACATTTTATTTATTTATTTATTTATTTATTTATTTATTTATTTATTTAGAGTTGGAGTTTCACTCTTGTTGCCCAGGCTGGAGTGCAATGGTGTGATCTTGGCTCACCGCAACCTCTGTCTCCTGGGTTCAAGTGATTCTCCTGCCTCAGCCTCCCGAGTAGCGGGGATTACAGGCATGCGCCACCATGCCTGGCGCATTTTTAGTAGAGACAGGGTTTCACCATGTTGATCAGGCTGGCCTCGAACTCCTGACCTCCCGTGATCTACCTGCCTTGGCCTCCCAAAGTGCTGGGATTACAGCCGTGAGCCACCATGCCTGGCCAGTGGAGATATTTATAAAAGGTTATTATGTAACAAATATACAGTTGCTTCTTGGCCTTTTGGCTAAGATTAAGTGTAAATATAAATTTAGAACTGTAACCTTCCTTCATACTGATTCTATGTTGGTTCTCCTCTGTTTTTAGGCTCTTAGAGGAGTTGGATAGAACCTTCCTTGATAACCTTAGAAACCAAGTGGATTTTTAAATATTTCATCATTTTATATGTCATATATATGTAGTCCTCTAGTCTAGATTGAAGTTAGGAAGTTAGGAGAGGACTCCAGTCTGTATTTGACGTGTGATCTTTGGAAAGGGACAGCAGTATTGTGTTTTTGTCTCTCTTCCAGTAAGCCTTTTGCACGCCTAGAAGTGTTTTCTCTTAAAGGAAATTAGATTTGCTGTTTTAATTGCTGATCTTAGGCCTGTTTTAACTGTTTTTGCCCCTTTTCAGACTATTTCAAATTCATTTTGGAAGTATGTGATGATCTTATTACTGCTTTCTTCTCAGGTGGCCCCATAACATGAAAACAAAAAGAGATTGTGCATTTTCTTTAACACTATGTAAATAATCATAGCTGACATTCACTGACTACTTAGTGTTTTCACATGTATATTAACATTTGTCATACGTCTCTGTGGGAGAGAGTGTTGTTTATCTATGTTTTAGAGAAGAAACCGAAACACAACTTGTTCATCATTACACAGCTAATAAGAAGTATAGTAGCGATTCAAACACAAGAAGTTTTCTTTTTTTTTTTTGAACTTTATTCTACTGCCTCTCAACATAGAGATATTGTAGAGACCCAGCATAGAGGACCCAGAACTTAATCAAACTAATAAGGGGTGGCCATTCACATTATAAAAGTATTTAATGGAGCACTTCTATTAAAAAGCAGGTTTCTAGAGTGTGTGCTGTGTTGTTTTCTGGTCGAAAACAGAGGGAGTAATCTCATTGGTATAGGACCTTTTCGTCACTCTTTTTTAACCACTTAACAAATCCCAGGACTGCCCTTGGGTCAGTGGGCCATCCTTGATGCAGCTGTTGTCCTTTCCTTGCAAAGAATAGTCCAGCATTGCCCAAGGTACATAAGGCTGTTGAGCTGAAAGAGGAAGTTGACTTAGGGTGATAGGTACTATGATGGACACATACATATAGGCACCTCTCCTGAGTCTCTAAACGGTTATTCAATTTACATGCAGCTTTTAGAAATACATGTATTATATAAAACAAAAGAATACAACAGTTTCAAAATCTGCACATTTTGAATATTTATTTCTATTTGATGATTTCTTTATTAGGTAGTTATGACTTAGAGCCTGAAATCCACCTTTAATGTTTGAGGATATTTATGTGCCTATTAATGATCTTGAATATCCTGCTATTGGCAATTTAGATTGCATCACCATGTGACCTAATTTTTTTTAAATTATTAATTTCATTTTAAGGCTATTGCCAAGTTGGAATGAAGGGTTTTTTTTTTTTGGTGGTGGTTGTTAGTTTTTAAGGATTTTAAATGGATGGGAAAAATAATTATTTAGCATACTTCTTCTTTTTTTTTTTTTTTTTTTTTCTTTTTTGAGACACAGTCTCACTCTGTCTCCCAGGCTGGAGTGCAGTGATGCAATCTTGGCTCACTGCAACCTCTGCCTCCCGGGTTCAAGCAATTCTCCTGCCTCAGCCTGCCAAGTAGTTGGGATTACAGACATGCGCCACCATGCCTGGCTAATTTTTGTATTTTTAGTAAGACAGGTTTTCACCATGTTGGCCAGGCTGGTATTGAACTCCTGACCTCAAGTGATCTGCCTGTCTCAGCCTCCCAAAGTGCTGGGATTACAGACGTGAGCCACCGTGCCCGGCCCATACTTCTTTTTTCTTTAAAATAATTTTATAAGGAAAATGTAATGCTCATGTTACACATTTAATGTATTTAGTTATTTTAATGTATACTCTTTTTACAAACAGTAGCTTAGAAAGTTTATTGCTACAAGAATATGCAGTTATCTGAGTGGAGAGAGTTCTATTTTTGAGCCTCATTCATTTCATAGCCATGTCTTGGTGGTAAACTTGCTGTTGGATTTTTTTCTCTTCTAGTTTTCTTATTTGTTTTTTTTTGAGATGGAGTTTTGCTCTTGTGTCCCAGGCTGGAGTGCAGTGGCGCGATCTCAGCTCACTGCAATCTCCACCTCCTGGGTTCAAGTGATTCTCCTGCCTCAGCCTCCCTAGTAGCTGGGATTACAGGTGCCTGCCACCACGCCTGGCTAATGTTCATATTTTTATTAGAGAAGGGGTTTCACCATGTTGGCTGGGCTGGTCTTGAACTCCTGACCTTATGTGATCCACCCACTTCAGCCTCCCAAAGTGCTGGGATTACAGGCATGAGCCACCACACCCAGCTTCTCTTCTAGTTTTATGTTTTTAGGTAACTATTTTTCAATTGATAATAAAAAACTATGATGCATGAATAGATAAGAGAATGAAGGTATTGTTATTAAAAATAAAGTATCTGTTTTTCTGAATTCTGGGCTTATTCAGCTTCTTAGAGTACAGACTGCTAGAGCTAAGTCCAAATTTTATTTTCTTTTATGTATTTCATATATGAGAAAAGATTTTCATTCATGTTCTTATATTTGACATTCTTAATGGTCAGTAAACTTTCTGTAAAGGGCCAGATAGTAAATATTTTATGCTTTGTGGGCCATATGGTCTCTCTTGCAGCTACTCAACTACGCCATCATGGCGTGGAAGCTGCCATAGAGACTACGGAAGTGAATTAACTTGTCTCTGCTTCCGTAAAACTTTAGAGGAACAGAAATTTGAGTTTAATATAATTTTCATGCATCACAAAATATTATTTTTTAAAAATATTTTTCAGCCACTTAAAAATGTAAGAACTATTTTTAGCTTATAGACTTTGTAAAAACAGGTTATGGGTCAAACTTGCCTGTTGGGTAATTGTTTGCTGACCTTTGTGACTGTGCTCATTGTCTTCTCTTTTCTTCCCTTTCTCTTAACATCTATCTCCCTTATTACTTATTCTCTGTTTTGCTCATTTTGCTGCTCAGTCATATATTTTATTTCATTATTAATGTGTATATAACTTGATTTTTTTAAATTAAATTTTAAGCTATGGAGGGTAGGGGTCTATAATTTTGGCCTCTTTATTGCCTTGCATTTTTATAAAAGTTATGTGCTTCGTAAAAATTGGGGAGGATTGCAGAGAATTAATATCTATCATTTAATATTTTGAAAGATTGTTGGGTAAATTCTTTTATTTCACTTATTAGTTTTTTAAACATATGTCCCAGAATGGTTCTATCTCAATGAATAGAAGTCATCTATTCATCTGCGAATTGATTTTGTTCTTTGTGTCATGTACTGTGATTGATGATATGAACAGTCCTCATTTAGTCTTTACCACCCCCTACTTTAAAAAAAAAAAAAAAAAAGAGATGGAGTCTTGCCCTGTGGCCCAGGCAGGAGCGCAGTGGTGCAGTCATAGCTCACTGTAACTTGAAACTCCTGGGTTAAATAAAGCAATCCTCCGGGCTCAAGCAGTCCTCCTGCCTCAGAATCCACAGTAGCTGGGATTACAGCCACACACTATGTGCCTAGCTAACATTTTTTATTTGGAATTTTTTGAGAGACTGAGTCTTGCTTTGTTGTCCAAGCTGGTCTCAAACTCCTGGCCTGACGCTACTTTTTGTATTTTTAGTAGAGACTGGCTTTTGCTCTGTTGGCCAGGCTGGTCTAGAACTCCTGGCCTCAAGTGATCTGCCCAGCTCGGCTTCCCGAAGTGCTGGGATTACAGGCGTGAGCCACTGTGCCTTGCTGCTTACCTTTCTTTAAACATGTTGTTTTACAAAAGTGAATTAGTAGAATTGCACAGTGAAATAAGATTGGAGAAGTTACAAAAAGTTTATCCCAACCCATTTGTTTAGTAGAAACCAACGATTAAATCTCAAACTGGTCATTTCAACTAATTTGCTTGAAAGAAATGGAAGACTGAGTAAAGATAAATAAAGGTTAAAATGTAAATGAAGAGGGTATCTGACAATTAGCGTACTTAGTGAGTTTCTCCCTTGGCTCAACAAACATTTTGTTTGCGTGTCTGTACTGCTATGGGGAACTGAGACTAGTGAGCGAGGTGCACAGTGATAGAATGTGTGTGAGGTGCTGGAGGGGCACGGGAGGGTACGCCATTCAGCTTGAGTGGTTGAGGGGTTCCAGGAGGACCATGTCTTGGGGAGATGGTGTTTGGACTTCTTTTTCCCCTTTATTAGCTTTAAACGTTGCTTAGAAATGCATAGTTGCTGAAAATAGTTAAACAATCTAGAATTTAGTAAAAAGCGCAAATCCTTATTTATACTTTCTGCTATCAAATCCCCATTCTTCAGAGTTGTAGTTCGTAGACTGATAAATATGCTCCCAAATTGAGCTCATGCTATGCATATAATTTTGTAGCTTGCTTCCCCCCCCCCCAATATAATACTCTATCCTGTGCAGATTTCCATATCAGTAGATACAGATCAACCTCATTTAAAATCTTCTGCCTCACATAATGGTATGGATATATGGTAATTTATTTACATTATTTCCTATTGCTGCACATCTAGGTTTCTAACGCGTTACACTGAATATCCTCATACACATACATTTGTTCTCGTGTGTAAATTAAGTTTAAATGATGAGTAGGTGAAGGGACTGAGGACTGATGTGAATGAAAAATGTTTTCTAGGTTAAGGGGACAATGCATAGTTTGAAAAACGTTGCTGAAGCAAATGAGAAACTTTTAGTCAGGAAGAAGTATTTCTGTTTCTGTGCTACAGAGTGCAGCACCTTCCATTTTCTCCAGTCATATGCTAGAGCATCTCATTTTATCATAGGCATTTCTTTACTGAATAATTCAAAGTTATTTTCTTATTTTAGAGATTTAAACACTTCTTAAAAATAAATGTTACCCAGTGGAGAAGCAGAATCACAAGTCAATAAGATGATTATTCAGAGGTCACACAGAGGTGAAGTGGGAGTTCTGGAAATAGAGTTTTTTGTTTTATTTTGAGACAGTGGCACCTAGGCTGGAGTGCACTGAAGCGTCAACCTCCTAGGCCCAAGTGATCCTTCCACCTCAGCCTCCTGAGTAGCTGGGACTACAGGCGTGAGCCACCACGCCTGGCTCATCTTTTTATTTTTTGTAGAGACAGGGTCTTCCTGTGTTTCCTAGGCTGCTCTCGAACTCTTGGGTCCAAGCAGTCCTTCCCCTCAGCCTCCCAAAGTGCTGGGATTACAGGTGTGAGCCACCATGCTTGTTCTGGAAATAGTTTTCATCCTAGCTCTGTCTCCTGAGAATATCTTACTCAGTGTAAATCCCCCATTACTATCCAACTTAAAAATTTAGTTAAATCTTAAAATACCTACTTGAGAATTGCTAGTTTATCAAGTAGATATATGAAAATGGCATAAATGACTTAAAGTAGATGAATTACATTTTGTTATACATACTCTTGAGTGTAAAATGTTTTCATCCCCAAAACTTAGTTGCTGCTATTTTGTTTCAGACAAATTTCCAATTTTGAAATGTTGCCTTGTAGTGTGGTATGAAGTGCTAACTGTTATTATAATTGTATTCTCTTTTGTCAATAAGACAATATTTGGCTTATTTAGTTCTGCATTTTACATAATCTAACCTTTGCTAATTTTTCTGTATTAAAATTATATTGCTAGGAGAAGAAGAGAGATGAAAATTAGTCTTAGGTACTGATTAAAAAATACTTTGGAAACAAAACAAGGGTGGTATTGTTCTGAGCTATTTCTGAAAGTAAAAGCTCTTCTTGGTTGCCAACAACGCCTTGCAGTTTGGTTGCATGTGTTTTGTTATCAAGAAATCCAATTCTTTGTACACCTCAACTTTTAAAATTTCTCACTTATTTAAAAAGTACGTGCTAAATAGCTGTATTTTGTGTTATTAATTGGAATGATACTAATGCTTTGAGTATAAATTAGCGTAATGTGTTCTGTCATTGTCCTAAACAGTAATTGTATTACCTGTTGTATTGCATGATTATGAAGTATTGATACTAAATTCCAAGGTAATTATTACTTCATGTGAAGTGTAATTTTTAAGCATTCATATCTATCTTTTCATTTAGAGTTACTTTTCAAGAGTAAAGTGTACATTTAAACAAACGAAATAACTTATTTTATATTTAATTTTTCTAGGGCAGCTTTGGAAGAAGTAGAAGGTGATGTGGCAGAATTGGAACTAAAACTTGATAAGGTAAATTTTACAAGTTAGCTTTTTGAAACATTGATTCTCGTTTGCTGTAAATAATGATTAGTACCTACAGTAGTAGGTCTCTTTTTTATTTTTTGGAGACAGAGTCTCACTCTGTCGCCCAGGCTGAAGTGCAGTGGCATGATCTCAGCTCACTGCAACCTCCGTCTCCTGGGTTCAAACGATCCTCCTGCCTCAGCCTCCCAAGTAGCTGGGATTACAGGCGTGCACCACCATGCCCAGCTAATTTTTTGTGTTTTTAGTAGAGACAGGGTTTCCCATGTTGGCCAGGCTGGTCTCAAACTCCTAACCTCAGGTGATCCACCTGCCTTGGCCTCCCAAAGTGCTAGGATTATAGGAGTGAGCCATCGCACCTGGCCTGGTAGCTTTTTATCTCTATGAGGGTAAATGCTATTATTATCCCAGTTTTACACATGAGGAAAGTAAGACTAGAGACACTAAGTAGCTTGTGTAAAGTCTAATCTAAGTGCCAGAGCAGGAATTCAAATCCATGTCTGACTTCAAAGCTCACTAAACATCCTTTATGTTGTTAGAAGCTTTTTCTGGGGCCAGGTGTGGTGGCTCACGCCTGTAATCCCAGCACTTTGGGAGGCTGAGATGGGCGGATCACCTGAGGTCAGGAGTTTGAGACCAGTCTGACCACCATGGAGAAACCTCATCTCCACTAAAAAAATACAAAATTAGTGTGGTGGTGCATGCCTGTAATCCTAGCTACTCGGGAGGCTGAGGCAGGAGAATCGCTTGAGCTGGGGAAGTGGAGGTTGCTGTGAGCTGAGATCGTGCCATTGCACTCCAGCCTGGGCAACAAGAGTGAAACTCCATCTCAAAAAAAAAAAAAAAAAAGAAAGAGAAGCTTTTTCTGTATTTTCTACCAAAAAGATTGCATCTTTCTTTTTTGTTGCTTAATGGATTTCATATATAACCTGACCATTGTATAAATTTGGGTCTGGCCACGTTCAAATGTAAATACAATTTAAAATATTAATTCCATTTTTAAGCTAATACCAGAAATACTTATAGATACTCAGTAATCTGTATGGTCATATTTTATGGAAGGGTAAATGTACATTGATTCCCTCCATCTATATTATTGATGATTTTTTTGGTGTCTGTCCAAGAAACACTGTTTGCTATATAGTAGGCAGAAGCAGTAGAATGAGTAAGACAGCTTCCGATCCATTTGTTTAGATACTTCTGAAACCACTGCTCATTTACATGTTTCTCTTTAAATTTCTGGAGATAAATCAGATGTATATATTTGAAATACCTTTTCTGAAAATAATTTTCTAGTTTAATAATTATAATTATAAATGGCATTGCTGTGTAACGTAGTGCTCCTGAGACCTTAACTTTGCTTAGGAACCCCTGGGGGATCTTCCCTGGGGATCCCATCTTGTGAAAAAACAGATTCTGATTCAGTAGCTGGAGACACCTGAGATTTTGTGTTTGTAACCGGATTCCAGGTGACGCCCGTGCTGTTGGCCCATGGACCACGCTTTTGAGTAGCAAGGATATAAAATATATTAAGCTGAAGGTTTTCAAATGTTTTGAAACCATGAAACACACATCTTTATATAATATAAATAGTCTAGAAACTATATTTAGTTCTATATGTAAACAAATTACATCAAAATTTTAGAAGATGTTTAGAGATAAGTTATTTTTGTATAGTACTGTATAATTTTTAAAGCCCTGTAATATATAGTAGTATCCTTTTAATTTTTACAATAATCCTGTAGGGTTAGATAGGACAAGTGTTATTACTCCCGTTTTATAGCTGAGGATACCAAAGCCCAAGGAAGTGATGAGGACTTGCTTCAAATCACAAAGTAGAAGAGGCACAACCAGGGCTAGAACCCCTTTTCTTTTTTTTTTGAGACAGAGTCTTGCTCAGGCACCCAGGCTGGAGTGCAGTGGCGCGATCTCGGCTCACTTGCAACCTCCGCCTCCCAGGTTCAAGCACTTCTCCTGCCTCAGCCTCCTAAGTAGCTGGGACCTCAGGCTCACGCCACTATGCCTGGCTAAGTTTTTGTATTTTAGTAGAGACGGGATTTCACCGTGTTGGCCAGACTGGTCTCGAACTCCTGTGCTCAGGCAATCCGCCCGCCTCGGCCTCCCAAAGTGCCGGGATTACAGGCATGAGCCACTGCACCCGGCCCCTCTGTCTTTATGATCAGTTCAGCGCTCTTCTTGCGCATCACTGCACTTCAGGATCCGCGTTGGGGGAGCACCTGCCACTGGGAAAGGTTCTGAGGAACGCTAGCTGGCTTCCAGCAAGTCTTTGTAAAAATTAATATTTTAATTTTGGATAAGGAGATTATTTGAAAATGCCTTCGTTTTCTACTTAAAAATTACATGTCTGGCTTTTTATTACTATTTTATTTTATTTTATTTTTTACCCTGAGGCATTACATTTATTTTCAAGTACTCTTTAAAACAAAATTTTAAATTCTCAAAGTAGACAACAGAAAATATAGTTTTGATTTTATGGAAGATTTATGAGAGAGTATGTAGAGGGGCAAGTCCTTCTAGAATCACAGAGTGGTATAAGAAGGATATCTTATTACTTATATATACATAAGTGATACATATATTATTACATATGTATTATATACATGAAATAAGAGTAAGGTAATAAGGTAGAACCACATGTAAATCATATGAAACACTGTGGTGGGACACCTCAGACTTTAAAATACCTAAACAGATAGAATCCACTGACAGTGTTTTTGCTGATTATTTTGCTGTTATGAGTGGATTCTTTTTTCCTTTGTATTATTCACTTGGGGTAGGGCACACACACTGCTAGAATCTTCAGACCAAAAGATTCAAATCTGAAACAAGTTATTGAAGTATCGACATTGAGTGCTAAGAACTATAAGCCCGTTCTAGAGTCTGTCTTACCCAAAGGGCTACCAAGACACATGGAAACCTGACAGCTTAAAAAAATCACTGTTTTCCCTCGCACTAAAGTTCCATAGTTACTTTTATATTTCGTACCTCTTCCAAATTCTTTTTTTTTTTTTTAATTTTTAATTTTTTTTTTAAGAAATGGATTCTTGCTCTGTCACCCAGGCTGGAGTGCAGTGGTGTGATCTCGGCTCATTGCAGCTTCCACCTTCCAGGTTGAAGCGATTCTCCTGCCTCAGCCTCCTGAGTAGCTGGGATTACAGGGACACGATACCACACCTGGCTAATTTTTTCGTATTTATAGTAGAGACAGGGTTTCACCATATTGGCCAGGCTGGTCTCGAACTCCTAACCTCAGGTGATCTGCCCGCCTTGGCCTCCCAAAGTGCTGGGATTACAGGCGTGAGCCCCCATGCCCAGCTCAAATTGTTAATCTATTAACTATTATTTTTATTTTAGAAACTATGGGGAGTTAGCATAGAGAAGAGAGGCTGAGAGGAGGAAGTGGTTGTTATTGAAGGTAGTGTCAGTGAAGGACTAATGTGGGTGGTGGAGGGGTTGCTCCAAGTCTAGGTTAATGATTTCATAGCTTTGTGCAGGGCAAGTTCCACCTATAGTATCATTGTAAATCATGCCAGGGACAGGTTAAACTAGCTTGTTGACTTTGCCTATAATGTATGCCACCAGTAGTTCATTCTTTGTGGTGAATAAGGCTTTATGAGTGGCATTGCTCTACGGAGTTCAATTATTGATCCATTCTTGCCAGGTGTTCTGTCATTGACAGCATCATAGTGCATCATAGTTGCCATCTAGGCTTAATTTCTGCATGTGTTGCATTGTCTGACTGGCATGCTTGTTCCCCATTGAGCAGATACTCTTTAAATCTCAGCCAAGTACTACCAAATGTTGGCTCTTTTTCTTCTGTTGCATTGTTTCTTGCATGTACTCTGATTTAAGCTGTTATAGTATTGTAATTTTGGGTGGGGAGCATAGCCTAGTAGTTAAGAACACAAACATTGGCTCTTTTTCTTCTGTTGCATTGTTTCTTGCATGTACTCTGATTTAAGCTGTTATAATATTATAGTTTTGGGTGGTAGCATAACCTGGTAGTTAAGAACACAAAGCCTGGAGCTGCTGCTGGGTTTGAGTCTGGCTCTATCATTTACTAGCAATATGGCCTTGGACAAGCTCTTCAACCTTTCTGTGCCTCAGTTTCTTCTCTCCAAAATGGGGAAAATAAGAGTGTCTATTTCATAGGATTATTATGAAACTAAAATGAGATAATACATGTAAAGTACTTAGCACAGTTCTTGGCACGTGGTAAATTCTAAATAAACAATGATGCTGTCTCTTCAACAGACTGTTAGCTCCTTGAAGAGAGATTGTCCTTAAAAAGGGGAAAAATGGGCTGGGAGTGGTGGCTCACGCCTGTAATCCTAGCACTTTGGGAGGCCGAGGCAGGCGAATCACTTGAGGTCAGGAGTTTGAGACCAGCTTGGCTAACATGGTGAAATCCTGTCTCTACTAAAAATACAAAAATTAGCTGGGTATGGTGCCCCTGGCGTGGTTGTGTGCGTGCGCCACTGCACTCCAGCCTGGGTGACAGAGCAAGACCCCATTTCCAAAGAAAAAGAAAAAACCCTCATTTGTTTTGTGTACTTGGTGTATACAAAGTCTTATGTTTTACTTATATTATTTCTTATTATTATAGCAATATTGCAAAATTGATATCCCTAATTTGCGCATGAAAAAACAAGAATTGGAGAGTATGTTACTCAAGGATAGTCAGCAGATAAGTTGTTTGTATTCCTATCATCTGGCAGAGTGTCTATGACATAGTAATTGCTTAGTAAAAAGTTGTTGAATGAATTAGGGATATTAGTTTGATAATTTAGATGGACTTGACATTTAATCTTGTTGTAGGTAAAAATCTTCCCTCTTTGTAGGTTTATATTATTCAGTTAGAATCTCATTTATCAGTGTCATCTAACAAGTATTTTGACAGCTGGCAAAATCTCAGTCTTCTCTCTTTCTGCCTCCCTCCCTCTTCATTGCCAAGTCCGTCCTTCCTCCTGGATAGCTGCAGCGTATATGTGGTTCTGCTGTATGACAATTTCATTTTCTCTGTAACTCCTGTGATGGTGACCTCTGTTCTACTTCTGATACCTATTTCATGGCTATGTTCTGTGCCTCATCACCCAGGGTTCTAATCTTTGAAATCTGGAATGCTGATATCCTACTTTCTGAGTTGAGTCTCCAGTCCTTCCAGTTCTCAGCCTCATTACTGCTTTTGTTCTTCAGCCCTACCTCTGGTCTTTCACTATCCGCTTGTGATATTCCAGATCACTTTTTTTTTTTTTAAATTTTACTTTAAGTTCTGGGATACATGTACAGAATGTGCAGGTTTGTAACACAGGTATACATGTGCCATGGTGGTTTGCTGCACCCATCAACGCATCATCTAGGTTTTAAGTCCCACATGCATTTGTCCTAATGCTCTCCCTCCCCTTGCCCCGCACCTGACAGGCTCCGCTGTGTAATGTTCCCCTCCCTGTGTCCATGTTTTCTCATTGTTCAACTCCTACTTATGAGTGAGAACACGCGGTGTTTGGTTTTCTGTTCCTGTGTTAGTTTGCTGAGAATGATGGTTTCCAGCTTCATCCATGTCTCTGCAAAGGACATGAACCCATTCTTTTTTATGGCTGCTCAGATAATTTTTAAATACACTTCAATGTATTCCTCTTTTTTGTAATTAAAAAAAGTTGAGATAAAATTAACCTAACATAAAATCCAGTATTTCAAAGTGAGTAATTCATGGTTTTTAGTATAGTCCCAGTGTTGTACAACTATCACCACTATCTAATTCCAAAATATTTTTCACCCCAAAAAGAAACCCTGTATCTATTAGCAGTCACTCCCAATTCTCCTCTCCCTCTGTCTTCTGGCAACCTAATCTACTTTCTGTCCCTGGATTTGCCTATTCTGAACATTTCAAATAAATGGAATAATACAATATTTGGTCTTATGTGACTAGCTCCTTTCTCTTAGCATGTTTTTAAGAGTCATCCATGTTGTAGCATGTATCAGTCCTTTGTTTTTATAGCTGGATAATGCATCATTGCATGGATGTACCTCATTTTGTTTATCCATTCATCAGTTGATGGACATTTGAGTTGTTTCCCTTTTGTGGCTGTTGTAAATAATGCTGCTATGATCCCTTTCAGAGTACTCTTAATGTTATTACATCATTATTTCTCTTCAGAGACTTTCATGTCCCTTCCATAATAGCTACTCTGCAGAATTCTCCACTATTTTAAGTCTGACCATCTATATTATTTGTCCCGTATCTGGCCTATAAAACCCTACAGGGGAAGTTACACAACTGTTTGGTGAAACCAACTGATGGTGCTACACATTCCTGGAATTCTTGATATAAAGCAGTTTCCTCCAGACCCAGTCAGGTGCCTTTCTTGTTACCGTTAGTGGCTCTTCAAGACCTCAGGATTTGCCACATTGTTCTTCATTCTCAACAGATGACCTTGTCTCTTCTTCTGCTTGGTGGGAATGCCTTTATTTCTTGCTGCTAATCTAGAAGTTTAACAGAATCTGTTCTTACCATTTTAGTTTTTCTGCTTCTTTGAATAATAAAAGTATCCCTTTTTCTATGCAGTTCCAAGCCCCTTACCTCCTCAGGACTTTGCTTTAGCATCTCTCTCCTTTCCCTTCTCTGCCACCTCTATCTTAAGTAGATAAAGATTTTTTTTTTTTTTTTTACTAAGTTTGTTTCTTAGTAAAACAAAACAAAAGCAAACAACAATAGGAAAACCTCTCCCTCTGACAAGGAAGCACAAATCTCTATTGAATAATTACCATGTGCCAGTAAGTTTGTGCTAAGAATCTTTTTTTTTTTTTTTTGAATACAGAGATAGGGTTGTTGACCAGGCTGGTCTCAAATGCCTGGCCTCAAGAGTTCCTCCCATCTTGGCCTCCCAAAGTATTGGGCTTACAGGCATGAGCCACGCCTGTGCTAAGAATCTTTATGTGCATTCCCTTAGTCTTTTTTTTTAGTAACCATATATGGTTTGGTACCATTGTTATGTGTGATACAGAAGAAGAAATGGAAGTTTGTTGAGGTTAAGTTCACTCAGTCTCACTTAGATGTTTAAGTATGACAGTAGGTTGAACCTAAGCAGACTTAGCTGAGAACCCTATATTTTTTGCCGTAATATTTTACTATTAACCTGTCTCTCTTTGTTTTTATGGAAACTTTTAATTATTTTTGAATTTAATTTGTTGCATAATACCACCTATGTAGTACACAATTTGAAGGTAAAAAAGTGTGTACCCAGTGAAAATCAGTCATTTTCTAATCTCTTTCCTAGAGGAATGCACTGAACTAGTTTCTCTTGCGCCCTTGTGCAATTTTCTTTTTTTTTTGAGACAGCCTCGCTCTGTCACTGAGGCTGGAGTACAGTGGCATGATCTCAGCTCACTGCAACCTCTGCTTCCCGGGTTCAGGCAATTCTCCTGCCTCAGCCTCCTGACTAGCTGGGACTACAGGTGCGCACCACCATGCCTGGCTAATTTTTGTATTTTTAGTAGAGGTGGGGTTTTGCCACATTGGCCAGGCTGGTCTTGAACTCCTGACCTCAAGTGATCTGCCCAACTTGGCCTCCCAAAGTTTTGGGATTACAGGCGTGAGCCACCATGCCTGGCCTTTTCACAAAATTTTCTAAGTATATAAAAGTATTTGTACTCTTCAGTACAAATGACTCTCCCCATTTCAACAAAAATATTAGCACTGTTCTACATTTTGATTTTTCTCTTAATATATCGTGGATGTTATTTGTTGTTATAGAGCTGTCTCATTTTAAAAAATGGTTGAATTGTATTACCTTTCATGGCTATATCATAATTTATTTATCTAGCTGTCCACTGAGAGACGCTTAGCTTGCTACCAATATTTTACTGTTACCGCAGTGAATATCTTTACATGTGTCATATGGCCTATCTGTAAAATATAGTTGTAGAATACATTTTAAAAAGTGAAATTGCGAAGTTAGAAGGTATGTATGTTTTAAATTTTGATAGCTCTCGCTAAACTGCCTTCTGTAGATATTGTACCAATTTACACTCCTACCAACAATGCGTGAGAGTGACTATTTCCCCATAACTGCCCTCTTTAAAACAGCATGTTATCAAACTTTTTCATCTTTGCTGTTAGTAAAAGAAAAAAAAATAGTAATTTCCATTTCTTTTATTATAGTGAGAATGAATATCTTTTCATGGGTTTAAGACACATGTATCTCTTTTTTGGGGGGTAATTATCTCTGCATGTATGTTACCCATTTTTTCTAGTGAATAGTTGGATTTTCAAAATGATTTATATACCCTTTTTTATGGTACGGAAACTTGTCCTTTGTGATTTATCTTAATATTGTTTTCCTATGTTGTTTCTTTTGACTGTGTTTGTTTTTTCCTTATAGAAATGTCTTATTATGTAATTGGATTGATCAGTTTTTTTTTGCATAGTATTTGAGCTTTGCATCCTTCTCAGACTTCCCACTTTGAGATTATTGAAAAAAAAAACCTTCTCTTTTCTCTTTGATTTCTGATTCTGTTTTTATGTTTAAATCTTTATCTATAATTAACTTGGGAGTCTGTAATACAATTTAATTTCTTTTTTTATCCCCTTCAGATGACTATCCAGTGTCCCTAATATCATTTATCAGATAACTTTTCCCCCACTGGCTGGAGTATTACTTTAATCAAATATGGCATATTTGTATCTGTTTTTTTGACTGTGTATTCTTTTACATTGATCAGTTTGTCTATTTGCATTTACTACCAGACTTTTATTTACTATCTTTTTATAATATATTTTAATATCATATAGTACTAATGTTCCTACCTTATTACTCTTCAAATATTTTTTTGCTCTTCTTGCATAGTGGTTACTCCATATGAACTTTAGAATCAGTTTTTCTGGCAAGACATTTTATTTTATATTGTAAATAGCAAACAATTTAAAAGACATCTGTGCCAGCATTTCTCACAGTGGGTTTTGTGGAATATTGGTCATATAATAATGCTTCCTCTTAACAAGAATTCCATGGTCACATATTTTTGGGAATTGCTACATATTATATACCTCCCCTCTTGGATGCACATTGATAAATCAAAAGCCCTTAACAGTATAGCAATATCTTCTGTTGCCTTTTCTAGGAATCCTTCCCTGGTCCCCACAGCCCTCGTTAGATGGTCTTCCTTTTTTTTTTTTTTCCATGCATAGTTTTGTCATAGTAGTTGTGTTTGTGCTCTGTAGAATTTATCTACTTGTTAGAATTATAGAATTAGAGTTTTTGAGAGCAGAGGTGATGTTTTCATTTTCTGTTCCCCTAGGTCTCAGGGCAGCAGTTTTAATTTATGCTCTTGAGATCCTTCAGGAGTTTTCTAAAGTTTTTCTTGGCTCTTTATCCTCTTCTTGGTGACCCCCCTTTGCATCCCCTTAGTACTTTTCTCTCCTTTGTCTAGAACAGTTTCACTTTTATCTGTTTTTTAATATTTGACATTTACCCAAGATTTTGGTAAAAGAAAATGTTCTGTGTCTGAAAGAAAGGAGAGAAAGAAGGAAGGAAGGAATGGAAGAACAGGGAGTTGGAGGGATAAAGGGAATGAAAAGAAGAAGGACGGGAGAGAGAGAAAGAGAAAGATGAAAGAAAGAGAAGAGCCCGGTACTAAGGCTTAGACAATGCCTGGAACAATAGGTATTAGAGACATTTTTTTTTTTTGAATACATGGTTGATTAATCACTTTAGCTATCTGCGTTGATAGACTAATATTGAAATGATCACTAAGCTATCATACAGTTTACTTACCTTTCCTCCAAAATACTTTTGTTGTTGTTATCACACAGCCTCTGGATCCTAAATGGTCAACTTTTCTGGTACAACTCTGCTACGAATTTACTTTATAAGCTGAAGGAAAAAAGAATACTTTTCAATTAGTCTGTTTTGAGTTTATCGATGAAACAAATTGAACTTAACTAGGTCACCTCATATAGTTACTGCCAACACTTGTTCAACTAAGTAATTTGTAAAACTATCTTCAACCTGATGAATTTTTTTTTTCTTTTTCAGCTTGTGAAACTTTGTATTGCAATGATTGATACTGGAAAAGCCTTTTGTGTTGCAAATAAACAGTTCATGAATGGGATTCGAGACCTGGCTCAGTATTCTAGTAATGATGCTGTCGTTGAGGTTAGTATTACTAAAATTGCAGTTAAAAATGAAAAAAAAAAGCAATAAGACATTAAAGAATTGTGCATTCATCTACCTGATTTATAGTTATGGTGATACTTAAAATTAGAAGTAGAAAAGTGGTCACCCCTTGGTGCTCTCTTGTATGATTCTGTTTTCTAAGAGAAGGTGATGGTTGATTTGCATTGCGCATTATCTAGCATGGCTCTTCTCACCTAGTTTCTCATTGTTGTGGTTAGTTTATTAAGTTTACTTGCTGCTAGGTGAGCTGAAGCACCTGTCAGAGGGCCTGAGCAGGAAGATCAAGATCATGCCTACTAGTAGCTGCTTATAGGGGCACGCAGAGAGCATTAACCTAAGTACAGCGTCTTAACTGTATGTATAGGGGGCTGTATAGGTTCTGATTAGCCAGCTTATGCTCGGTTAGCTTAGATTCCTTGGTATACTATGTGGTGTTATATTTCTTTCATGAGAAATAATAACTGGTGAAGAAATGGGTGTAGTTTGATGATGATTTGATTCTAGATGCCTACATGGGCCATCTTGATACACGCAAAACAATTTTACCTTAGGTTTATATTTACCATTTCTATTGTTAGCATAATACCGTTGAAGGGGCAATATTAATTCTTTCACATTTTTAGGGTTTTATTTGTTACCACGTGTAGAGGTGACCTCTGCAGAGTGTACCCATAAGGTAGTGTGAGATTGTCATTGGAAATAAATGTTACTGTTTACAGTGTAACTTGATCTTCTGTCAGAAATTCTGAGGTCACATTTTTGTGACCTATTTAAGTGGCTCATAAATGATTTGGTTTTCTTTTGCTTTTTTTCTCATAGACAAGTTTGACCAAGTTTTCTGACAGTCTTCAAGAAATGATAAATTTTCACACAGTAAGTGTCAGTAAGTAGGTGTTACTATGACCATATTAACATTTTAGTATTTTTCTTGAGTCGCAATGTTTTATGAAATGACTAAAAGGGAATTACATGGCTTTGATTGGTCGTCAACTTTTTAGCTGGGTGAATCTAAAATGTACGCTGTGTGTGTATTTGTGTGTGAGTGTGTGTGTGCATGCATGCCTGTGAAAGAAGAGAATAAGAGTATTATTTTCCATTCTAATATAGTGAACTTAATATCATTGAAGGACATATACCCAAAAGTTAAATTTTTTCCCTTTAAGTTGTGGCTTTGTAAAATTTTTAAGCATGTACTTAAGAATAAAGAAGTAAAAGTCATTTTAAATGTAGCTGTTTCTTTTTAGATACTTACCAATATATTCCCTTTATCTAAACAATTACCAATATTAAAGAGTGCTATATTCTTTGAGCTATTTATATGTGTGTTTAAGATTTGTGGGCATTTATCCTTCAAGAATGAGGGATATATATTACTTTGGGAGTGTCACAAAATTCCTTTACAAAGTTTGCAAAAGTTTACTGCAAATATGGCAGCTTATAAGCTGTATGTTTCTTATATTTTTTAAAAAGCTTAACTGATATGGCTGTTGTATAATTATTTAATCAGTGCTTTAAAATTTATTAGCCAGTCTGTAATAAAAATATCAATACTTATAATCTTCATAAAATCTGCTTGTTTTTGGTTCTTAATTTGATTTTAATTTTTTTTTGTTGGTTAGCATATTTAGGATGCAGTAATATGACAATGTTTATTTTAATTATAGTTCAAATTTTAGCTATGCTAATATTGACATGTACAAGTATCTGCTTGAGTGCCTGTTTTCAGTTCTTTTGGGCATGTACCTAGGTGTAGACTTACTGGGTCATATGGTAATTCTATGTTTAACTTTTTGAGGAACTGCCAAACTGTTTTCTACAGAGACTGTACCATTTTACATTTCCACCAGCAGTGTTTGAGTGTTCCAAGTTCTCCACATCGTTATCAACACTTGTTATTGTCAATTTTTTAAAAAAAATTATAACCATCCTAGTAGGTGTGAAGTGGTATCTCATTGTAGTTTTGATTTGCATTTCCCTAATGACTCATGCAGTTGAGCATCTTTTATGTGCTTACTGGTTTTTTGTGTATCTTCTGTCATTGTTACCATTGTTGTCTATTGAAGTCCTTTATTTATTTAGAGATGGGGTCTCACTCTGTCACCCAGACTGGAGTGCAATGGCACAGTCATACCTCACTACAGCCTGGAACTCCCAGGCTTAAGTGATCCTCTTACTGTAGCCTCCCAATTGGCTAGGACTACAGGTATGTGCCATCATGCCAGGCCAATTTTTTGTTTGTTTGTTTGTTTTTGGTAGAGATGAGGTCTTGTTCTTTTGCCCAGGCTAGTCTTGAACTCCTGGGCTCAAGCCGTCCTCCCGCCTCAGCCTCCAAAGCACTGGGATTACAGGTGTGAGCCACTACACCCAGTCCCTTTGTCAGTTATTTAATTGGGCTTGTGTTGTTGTTGTTGTTGTTGTTGTTGACTTACACTTGTTTTACATAGTTTGGATATTAAACCCTTATCAGTATATGTTATACAAATATTTTCTCTCATTTTGTAGGTTTTCTTTTTTACTTTCTTGAAAATATCCTTTGACACACAAAAGTTTTTAGTTTTGATGAAGTCTGAAGTTCAGTTTATCTATTTTGTCTTTTGTTGTTTGTGCTTTTGGTGTTATGTGTAAGGGAATCCATTGCCAAATTCAAGGTTATAAAGATTTACCCTTAGGTTTTCTTCTAAGAGTTTTATGGTTTTAGCTCTAGTATTTGACACCAATTTGACCACGTAATAGTTTTCTTTTTGCCTTCTGTTGAATTTAGATGGCAGTGTTTGGTATATTTGATTTCTCTTTAATAAGAAAGTTTTCTTTTTTTTATATAAGTGATTGACTGTAAATTGACATAATAGACTAAATGTTTTTTCTATAATTTATTATCCTTTGAAATATTCCTCTCCTTTTCTTTAAAGCAGTAAATCTTATGCTATTTCTTTATATAATAATACCTTGCTCTTATGGTTTTAAATGTGAAAAGTTATGATTAAGATAAACTTTTGGCAAATAATTTTTTTTTTTTTTTTGGAGACAGAGTCTGGCTCTGTCTCCCAGGCTGGAGTGCAGTGGTGCGATCTTGGCTCACTGCAGCCTCCGCCTCCCGGGTTCAGGTGATTCTCTTGCCTCAGCCTCCCAAGTTGCTGGGGCTACAGGCATGTACCACCATGCCTGGCTAATTTTTGT
This sequence comes from Homo sapiens, assembly GCF_000001405.40. NCBI lineage: Eukaryota > Metazoa > Chordata > Mammalia > Primates > Hominidae > Homo > Homo sapiens. The sequence goes on along the minus strand of NC_000003.12, from coordinate 195,378,704 downwards.
ATTTTTAGTAGAGATGGGATTTTGGCATGGTGGCTAGGCTGGTCTCAAACTCCTGGCCTAAAGTGATCCACCCGCCTTGGCCTTCCATAGTGTTGGGATTACAGGCGTGAGCCACCGCACCTGGCCTTGAAGCAAGGTATATATGTATTATTTCCTTTGGAGGAATAGAGATTTTTTTTGTTTTTTTTTGTTTGTTTGTTTTGTTTTTTGTTTTGAGACGGAGTCTCGCTCTGTTGCCAGGCTGGAGTGCAGCGGCGCAATCTTGGCTCACTGCAACCTCTGCCTCCTGGGTTCGAGGGATTCTCCTGCCTCAGCCTCTGGAGTAGCTGGGACTATAGGGACGTGCCACCACGCCCAGCTAATTTTTTGTATTTTTAGTAGAGACGGGGTTTCAACATGTTGGCCAGGATGGTCTCGATCTCTTGACCTTGTGATCCGCCTGCCTTGGCCTCCCAAAGTGCTGGGATTACAGGCGTCAGCCACTGCACCCAGCTGAGATTGGTCTTTTTAATACTAGTGCTCTTAATCTTAATGTGCACCTACATTCCTGAAACCTAAGCAGATTCCACTTTTCTCACTTTCTTTCTCTCTCCTTCCTTCCTCCCTTCCTCCTCCTCCCTTCCTCCCTTCCTCCCTCCCTCCCTCCCTCTTCTTTTTCACTATTCCTTATACTTGAGAAACCTCATACTCTCTGTTGACTCTAAAACTCATGTTGCTTTAAAAAGATAATTTTTATACTAAGAAAAAAACCACTTTTTGTCCGTCTGCCTGGAGGTCTGAAGGCTGTATGTTGGTCAGCTTGTTTGTGTTTACGTACATGTTTCTATACATGAAGAACTTTTTGTCTGACACTATACCCAGAAGTCCAGTGTGTATTTTGTTCCCTTATTATTTTTGACAGCGTCTCAGAAATTTTCTTTTTAATAGATATAAAAATGAAATTGTGAGTCCTTGGTTTACTTTCTTTTAATTTTCTTCTTTTTATAGTTAATATACCATCTATTCTATCTGGCCTTTTTGTTGTTTTGTAACCAATACTTTAAATTTTTTTCAGTAGGAATGACTTGTGTCACTTGAACTAGAATTCCTATATTTGTGGCAAAAGTTCTTCCCTCATCATAGCCCTGTTATACTTCACGTTAATTAGACGATGGCTAGGGATAACACTTACCTTGTTTACTGTTATACTCCCAGTAGTTACATAACTCTCATTTTAGGGAAGTCATTTAATTTCTCTGACATTTACATTCCTCCTCTGTAGGCTGGGCGTGGTGGCTCATACCTGTAATCTCAGCACTTTGGGAGGCTGAGGTGGTTTGATTGCTTGAGCCCTGGAATTAGAGACCAGCCTGGGCAACATGGCGAAACTCGGTCTCTACAAGAAATAGAAAAATTAGCTGGGTGTGGTGGCTCATGCCTGTAATCCCAGCTACTCAGGAGGCTGAAGTGTGAGGATCACTTGAGCCTGGGAAGTTGGGGCCACAGTGAGCTGTGATTGCACTACTGCACTCCAGCCTGAGTGACACAGTGAGACCTTGTTTCCAAAAAAAAAAAAAAAAAAAAAAAGATTTACATTCCTCCTCTGTAAAATGAAGGGGATTTACTAGATGACTTTCCATTATTAAAAATTTATAAAATCATGAGGCATTTATTATAAGATTTAAATTTGGTCTCAGAGCCATTTGTTAACATGTAGGAAAAGCCTAGTTACATAAAATGCTTTATTTTTGTAGCATTCTCTGGAATTCTAATTACATAGCATCCCAATATAAAGGATGATTAGGAAAAACTGCTTTCTAAAAGATAATAAATAGTGTAACCTGCATTAGATTCTCTAGCAGAGCTCATAACAGTTGGGCTTTGGTATATCAGTTTGTGTAAGGATAAAAGTCTGGATATTCCAGAGGTGTCATTTACCAACTTTGTGGGCTTAAATAGATGTTTGAAAATAATAAAACCATTTGTGTTATTAGCCACGTAAAGATTAAACATATGTTGGAGTCAGATTGTCCAGTCATTTAATAAAATAAATCATTTAGATTATCATGTAATTTATTTATTTATCTGTAAAAATGGATAGAACTCTTCTTATTCCTTTTAGAATGAGAATATCCTAGGTTTCTCTTTAACTCATATGTTTTTGTTGTTGTTGTTGTTTTTGTGAAATGGAGTCTCGCTTTCTCTCCCAGGCTGGAGTGCAGTGGTGCGATCTTGGCTCACTGCAACTTCCACCTTCCAGGTTCAAGTGGTTCTCCTTCCTCAGGAGTATTATGTTTAAACTTCTTTTGTTTTATCACAATATATATATATCTTTTTTGAGATGGAGTCTTGCTCTGTTGCCCAGGCTGGAGTGCGTGACCTTGGCTCACTGCAGCCTCCACTTCCCAGGTTCAAGTGATTCTTGTGCATCCGCCTCCCGAGTAGCTGGGACTACAGGCACCCACCACCACACCCGGCTAGCGTTTATATTTTCAGTAGAGATGGGGTTTCACCATGTTGGCCAGGCTGGTGTCGAACTCCTGACCTCAAGTGATCGGCCCACCTTGGCCTCCCAAAGTGCTAGGATTACAGGTGTGAGCCACTGCACTTGGCCTTAATGCATATGTTTTTATAAGATGTGAACACACATGACTTTTTCAGAGCAGGTCAGGTATGCTACATTCTACTAGATATTAGAATTGGTTTGAAGAGTGGCTTATTTTCCTAGAATTTAAGAGATTTTGGTGACTCCATTGATGACACTTTTGGATTCTAATTTGCTGTTGGTATAAGGAACTTGGAATATTTATTTGATATTTATTTGATTATTATCTTTGCTGAATGCAGCTTTAACGTTGATTTGCTACATAAATTCTATGAACATGTATGACTCTTTTTGTTGTCTGTCTATCATTTTTGAGACAGGGTCTTGCTCTGTTGCCTAGGCAGTAGCATGATCATAACTCACTGCAGCCTTGAATTCCTGGGCTTAAGTGATTCTCCTAGGAGCCTCAGCCTTCTGAGTAGCTGGGACCACAGGCATGCATCACCGTGCTCAGCTAATTTTTAATTTTTTTGTTGAGATGGGGTCTTGCTGTGTTGTCCAGGCTGGTCTCAAACTCCTGGGCTGAAGTGATCATCCTGCCTCGGCTTCCCAAAGTGCTGGGATTACAGGTGTGAGCCACTGTGCCTGGCCAGTATTTTTTTTTTTTTTTTTTGTACAGTTGATTTTTCAATTTAGAGCTGTACACTTAGTCACTCAACTAATGGTTTTAGGCAGTGAGAACAGGGTAGTTTCAGTGTTTCACAAGTCATCTCATTTCATGGCACAGATTGAAAATGATAGTCATGTTTGTATGGAACACTGGAGAAAACTTCATGGGGAGATAAGGGCACCTATCTGGGTGAAAAAATTTTAAGGTTCTTTTTAATGGAATTATATTTTTAGAAAACACAGTATTAGGGAAGATATTATGTATTGAATGTGTATAACATGTCCAGATATTTTATTTTTATTTATTTATTTTTTATTTTTTGAGACAGTCTTACTCTGTCACCCAGGCTGGAGTGCAGTGGTGCGATCTTAGCTCACTGCAACCTCTGCCTCCCGGGTTCAAGCGATTCTCCTGCCTCAGCTTCCCAAGTAGCTGGGATTACAGGTGCCTGCTTCCAGGCCCAGCTAATTTTTGTATTTTTAGTAGAGATGGGGTTTTACCATGCTGGCCAAGCTGGTCTCTAACTCCTGACCTCAGGTGATCTGCCCGCCTTGGCCTCCCAAAGTGCTGGGATTACACGAGTGAGCCAGTACGCATGGTCCAGATGTTTTAAAAAATAAGGCTGAGCTTGCTTCAATAAACTTAACTTTAAAAAAAAAAAGGTCTTCTATGGGATGCTGAGACAGGAGAATGGCATGAACCCGGGAGGCGGAGCTTGTAGTGAGCCGAGATGGTGCCGCTGCACTCCAGCCTGGGCGACAGAGCGTGACTCCGTCTCAAAAAAGAAAAGAAAAGAAAAGAAAAGGTCTTCTGCATGAAATATTTTCAAGCAATTCCTGATCAAGATTTAAAATTGATGATCCTTTCAAATTATTGGTCATTGTTAATGACGAGAAACTGCCTATATAGGCATATTAGCAAAAGGCAGAGGAATATTTGTTGCCCTTTTCCCCTAACTCTCAGGAGCTCCTCTCTCACATGTAATTAGAACTTAAATAATTTCATCTTCTTAAGTTGTAGTTCAAAGAGGCAATCATTCATAAAATGGAAGTGCTCTTCTTTTTCTCTGATTGACACAAGTAATGCTTATATTTTCTGGGATAAATTGGATTTTTTGTTTCTTAGATGGAGTCTCGATCAGCCCCCAGGCTGGAGTGCAGTGGCCTGATCTCGGCTCACTGCAACCTCCGCCTCCTGGGTTCAAGTGATTCTTGTGCCTCGGCCTCCCTAGTAGGTGAGACTACAGGCGCTTGCCACCACGCCTGGCTAATTTTATTTTTTATTTTTAGTAGAGATGGGGTTTCACCAAGTTGGCCAGGCTGGTCTCGAACTCCGGACCTCAAGTGATCCACCCATCTTGGCCTCCCAAAGTGCTGGGATGACAGTGCCTGACCTGGATGGATTTTGAATAAAATAATGAAGCCTTTCTGCAGGTTTACACCGAAGTTGCTCTACCTTTTCCCCCTTCTGCCTACTTTTAATAATTCTTTTTTTGAATTCAGATTTTAGCACTGACTCACTTAGTGACTCAGTTTCAGCCTCATGTTTCCACATTCTGAATCCATAAAGTTTGTCAGTATATGTTTTTTTGAGACAGAGTCTTGCTCTGTTGCCCTGGAGTGCAATGGCGTGATCTCGGTTCTCTGCAACCTCCACCTCTTGGGCTCAAGCAGTTCTCCTACCTTAGCCTCCTGAGTAGCTGGGATTATAGGTGTCCACCACCTGGCTAATTTTTGTACTTTTAGTAGAGATGGGCTTTCACTATGTTGACCAGGCTGGTTTCCAACTCCTGACCTCAAATGATCCACCCGCCTCGGCCTCCCAAAGTGTTGGGATTACAGGTGTGAGCCACTGTCCCTGGCAGTATATGTGAATTGTCAAAAATTTTAAGGACTGCTTCATATAAGTTAATCAGATAGCAGGGTGCCAGTTAGTAAAGCCATTTTTTAAAGTCAATAACTAGTGTTAAACAAATCTGCAAGTTGAGAATTATTCCTCCCAAGCTGTTTGAATTCTACTTTTAATTCATAAATTTTAGCAAAATTTGTTCTCTGGAAGTCAGTGCACTTTTGTGTGAAATGGAAGACAGTGATATTCTCATAGTATTTCTTTGATGATACTAAATGTTTAAATAGTCTTAGATTATTTATCATTTTGATAACATTTAATTTGGGATTAATATGTATCATATCTACATGCATACTTTTATATATGAAAGATCCTCTGTAAAATATTTTACTAGATCATCAGAGTTTTCCAAATAAATTTTTTATTTTTATTTTTAAACGAACTTCTGGGCTCAAGCAATCCTCCCACATCACCAAGTGCTGGAATTACAGATGTGAGCCACTGCACCTGGCTCCAAATAAATTCTTAATGTAAGTTTACATCTTGTAGTCATTGTTAGCTACACTATCAGTATGCAAAATTACAGTGTTTCCATAATATCTTTTTTGTTTCACAGTTTTTCTTTAGCATTTTTACTTTTATCATTAGGCTTTTTTTTTTTTTTTTTTTTTTTTTGAGATGGAGTCTCGCTCTGTCGCCCAGGCTGGAGTGCAGTGGTGCCATCTTGGCTCACTGCAAGCTCCGCCTCCCGGGTTCATGCTGTTTATTATTAGGCATTTCTTTAGGTAGTTTGCAAAACAGTCAGTGCTCTTCCGAGGTACTATATTCAGAGTTTATTTATTTTGTTTTGAGACAGAGTTTTGCTCTGGCACTAAGGCTGGAGTACAGTGGTATGATCAGAGCTCACTGCAGCCTCTATCTCCTGGGCTCAAGTGATCCTTCTGCCTCAGCCTTCCAAATAGTAGGACTACAGGTGTGCCACCATGCCTGGCTAATTTTTTTTTGTAGAGCGGGGGTCTTCCTGTGTTGCCCAGGCTGGTCTTGAACTCCTGAGCTCAAGTGATGTTCTTGCCTCAGCCTCCCAGAGTAGTGGGATTACAAGGTGCGGGCTATTGTGTCTGGCTTTTTTTCTTTTTTAGAGACAGAGTCTCACTGTGTTGCCCAGGTCGCTGCTGAGGTCTTGTGCTAAAGTGATCGTCTCCGGGACTCCCAGGTGCTGAGGTCGGAGGCGTGAGTCACTGTGTCCAGCCTCAGGTGTTCTTTCTGCTGTTAGCTTGAGCGCAGTTACTCATGTGCAGAAGCTTCACTCAGAATGAAAAAGTTTTGATAGAGTAGCATTAGTCATTATGCATGTGTTTATCTGGCATGCCATAAAATGTTATTCTCTTAATGAAATGTGGCACCTTTTCTGTTTCTTGTTCTGCTTTGGAAATTAACAAAGTTCTTGACATTTTTTTCCTGTAGGCTGGTACGTTTACAGTTCTGCAATTGTATGCAGCATTCTGGCTGTAGCTCTTAATTGAGTAACCTTGTAGTTAGCTTCTCGATCTGATATTATTGTAACTAATCTCGTAAAATAACTTTGTGTCTTATTTTGTGTTTGCAGAGGTTTAGCCTGCAAATCTTCCTGTATGAATGTAATTCTGCTTTCTTAAAATGTTTCAATGTAAATTTTATTGAAAGATTATAAAATTAAGGATTTTGGGCTGGGCGTACCGGCTCATGCCTGTAATCTCAGAAGTTTGGGAGGCCGAGGCAGGTGAATCACTTGGGGCCAGGAGTTTGAGACCAGCCTGGGCATGGCAAAACCCCATCTCTACTAAAAATACAAAAATTAGCTGGGCTTGGTGGTGTGTGCCTGTATTACCTATATAACCAGCTACTTGGGAGGCTGAGACATGACAATTGCTTGAGCCCGGGAGGTGGAGGTTGCAGTGAGCCAAGATCACGCCACTGCACTCCACCTTGGGTGACAGAGGAAGACTGTCTCAAAAATAAAAAGAATTTTGGGAGCATTCCCCTTGAAAACCAGCATAAGACAAGGATGCCCTCTCCCACCACTCCTATTCAACATAGTATTGGAAGTCCTGGCCAGAGCAGTCAGACAAGAGAAGGAAATAAAGGGCATCCAAATAGGAAGAGAGGAAGTCAGACCATCACTGTTTGCAGATGACTTGATGCTATATCTAGAAAACCCTATAGTCTCAGCCCCAAAACTCCTTCAGCTGATAAACAACTTCAGCAAAGTTTCAGGATACATAACATGCAAAAATTAGTAGCATTTCTGTACACCAACAACATCCAACCCGAGAGCCAATTCAGGAACACAATCCTGATCACAGTTGCCAGGAAAAGAATAAAATACCTAGGAATACAGCTAACCAAGGAGGTGAAAGATCTCTATAATGAGGATTACAAAACATTGCTCAAAGAAATCAGAGATGGCACAAATGGAAAAATGTTAAATCCTCATGGATAGATAGAATTAAGACTGTTAAAATGGCCATACAGCCCAAGGAATTTACAGATTCAGTGCTATTCCCATCAAACTATCAATGATAGTCTTCACAGAACTAGAAAAAAACCTTAAAAAATTTATATGGAACCAAAAAAGTGTTCGAATAGCCAAAGTAATCCTAAGCAAAAAGAATAAATAGAGCCGGAGGCATCACATTCCAGACTTCAAACTATTTTTTTTTTTTTTTTTTTTGAGACAGAGTTTCACTCTAGCTGCCCAGACTGGAGTGCAATGGCACAATCTTGGCTCACTGCAACCTCCACCTCCTGGGTTCAAGTGATTCTCCTGCCTCAGCCTCCCAGGTAGCTGGGATTACAGGTGCCCACCACCATACCTGGCTAATTTTTTGTATTTTTAGTATAAGACAGGGTTTTGCCATGTTGCCCAGGCTGGTCTCGAACTCCTGATGTCAAGTGATCCCCTGCCTTGGCCTCCCAAAGTGTTGGGATTACAGGTGTGAGTCACCACACCTGGCCCAGACTTCAAACTATGCTACAGGGCCCCAGTAACCAAAACAGCATAGTACTGGAGCAGAAACAGACACAGACCAGTGGAACAGAGAAGAGAGTCCAGAAATAAAGCCGCACACCTACAACCATCTGATCTTCAACAAAGCTGACAGAAACAAGTAATGAGGGAAAGGACTTCCCTATTCAGTAAATGGTGCTGAGATAACTGGCTAGCCGTGTGCAGAAGATTGAAACTGGACCCCTTCCTTATACTGTATACAAAAATCAACTCAAGATGGATTAAAGACTCGAGTGTAAAACCCAAAACTGTAAAAACCCTGGAAGAAAATCTAGGAAATACCATTCATGACATAGGCCCTGGCAAAGATTTCATGACAAAGATGCCAAAAGCAATTGCAACAAAAGCAAAAATTGACAATTGGGACCTTAAAGAGCTTCTGCACAGTAAAAGAAACTGTCAACAGAGTAAACAGACAACCTACAGTGGGAGAAAATATTTGCAAACTACTCATCCGACAATGCTCTAATATCCAGAATCTGTAAGGAACTTAAACAAATTAACAAGCAAAAAACAACCCAGTTAAAAAGTGGGCAAAGGACATGAACAGACACTTCAAAAGAAGACATACACAGCCAAGAAGCCTGTGAAGAAATGTTGAGTATCACTAATAATTAGAGAAATGCAACTCAAAACCACAATGAGATTCCATCTCACACCAGTCAGAATAGGTATTAATAAAAAGTAAAAAACACATGCTGCCAAGGTTGTGGAGAAAAGGGAATGCTTGCTTATACACTGCTGATGGAAGTGTAAATTGGTTCAACCATTGTGGAAAGCAGTGTGGTGATTTCTCAAAGACCGAAAAGCAGAACTACCATTTGACCCAGCAATCCCATTACAAGGTATATACCCAGAGGAATAAAAATCATTCTACCATAGAGACACATGCACACGAGTGTTCATTGCAGCACTGTTCACAATAGCAAAAACATAGATTCAACCTAAATGCCCATTAATGACAGATTGGATAAAGAAAATGTGATACATATGTACTGTGGAATACTGTGCAGCCATAAAAATGAGATCATGTCCTGTAGGAACATGGATGGAGCTGGAAGCCATTATCCAAACTAACATAGGAACAGAAAACCAAATACCACATGTTCTCACTTGTAGGTGAGAACTAAATAATGAGAACATGTGGACACAAAGAGGGGAATAACTGTCCCTGAAGCCCTTGAGGGTGGAGGGTGGGAGGAGGGAGAGGATCGGAAAAAAATAACTTATCAAGTACTAGGCTTGTTACCTGGGTGATGAAACAATCTGTACATCAAACCCCCATGATAAGAGTTTACCTATATAACCTGCACATGTACCACTGAACCTAAAATAAAAGCTAAATAAAAAATTAAGCATTTAGTAAACAAAACAATAATTCATTTTAGTCAGTGTCATAAATATTACGTATGATCAGAAAATCAGATTTAAAAAAATGTTTTTGAATCTCTAAAGGCCTACAATTTATTTAAAATAAGTTTTAATTATGTACACTTAATTTCTTCCTCTTTTTTTTTTTTTTGTTTGTTTTTGAGACATAGTTCTGCTCTTGTTGCCCAGGCTGGAGTGCAGTGGCACGATCTCAGCTCACTGCAACCTCCGCCTCCCAGGTTCAAGTGATTCTCCCGCCTCAGCCCCCCAAGTAGCTGGGACTACAGGCACCCACCGCCATGCCCAGCTAATTTTTGTATTTTTAGTAGAGATAGGGTTTCGCCATGTTGGCCAGGCTGGTCTTGAACTCCTGACCTCAGGTGATTCACCCGCCTTGGCCTCTCAAAGTGGTGGGATTACAGGCGTGAGCCACTGTGCTCTGCCGATTTCTTCTTTAGAAATGATTTTTATGGTTAGGAGTTACTATAAATGAAATTTCATCAAGTCACACTTTAGCTAATTAACACCAAAAGCCAATGATAAATAAAAATGAAGAAGTAACAGCTGAAAAATAACAAAAACAATTATATTCTAATAAGAATCTGTAATACTAAATGATGATGCTATGGAAACAACGATATGTAATTTCATGATTAGTAGGAAAAATATGAAAAATAACATGAAATGATAACACAAATTGTGGTAAAATATAGTTTTGGATGATTCAAATGGGAATGCAGGAGGAAGAATTAATATAGCTTTGGCAAAGTAGTAATTACTACATTCAGAAATTTAACAAACAGTGGCTGGGATAACGCCTGTCATCCCAGCACTATGGGAGGCAGAGATGGGTGGATCATTTGAGGTCAGGAGTTTGAGACCAGTCTGGCCAACATGGTGAAACCCCGTCTCTATTAAAAATACAAAAATTAGCCAGGCATAGTGGTGCATGCCGGTAATCCCAGCTACTTGGGAGGCTGAGGCAGAAGAATCGCTTGAACCCGGGAGGCGAAGGTTGCAGTGAGCTGAGATCGAGCCACTGCGCTCCAGTCTGGGTGACAGAGAGAGACTTGGTCTCAGAAACAGAAACAAACAAAAAACCAGAGAGTTAACAGACAGGCATACAAATAGTACCAAAATGTAATTTTAGCAGTTGTAGATTCTGAATTATACCAAGTAGTTTGCAGCTTTAAAAATCACTATAAAAACTTATAAACATCAATATCTTAAATACGGCTACCAACATCTTGTCAGTAACTTTGACTGTTTAACAACTGCCCCAAAACTTTGTGACTTAAAACAGCCACCAAGTGGGGCTTGGAGGGATCAGCTTACTTCTGCTCTAGTTGGTGCTGGCTGGGTGGCTTGACTGTGGCTGAAGGATTCAGCATGTCTGCTACCTTAGCTGGAGTGGCTGGAATGACTGGTGTTGGCTGAGCTTCTTTCACCCTTTGGAGTCTCTCATCTTCTAGGACTTCTCTCTCTACATTTGGCCTCTCTCCCCAGCAGGCTAGTCAGACTTCTTAATGTGATAGTTGGCCTTCACGAATGTGAAATCAGTGGGTACATGGTCCCTTAAAGCCTGGGCCTACAAGTCACATCGCATCACTTCTGCATTCTTTTGATCAAAGCAAGACTCAGAGCCACCCCAGATTCAGGGTAAGGAAAATCAACTCTACCGTGTGAGTGGGAGAGTGGCACGCACCTGCAGGGATGGGAGGAATTGATGGTGGTCATATATATAGGTTGCCTTTCAATACCTGATCTGTGTGCCAGGACTCAGTGTTAGGAAGCTTGACAATAGTCAACTAATCCCCATTCCCCCAGAGTTTTATTTATGTCATTTGAAGTGTAGCATATAATTGAAAAAATCTCCCCAGGTGATCCTGACATTGCAGTAAAGTTTGAGAACCACTAGTAAAGTTTGAGATAACTGATTCTTAATGAGTGGTCCCTGGACCAGCAGCATCAGCACCATCTGGGAACTTGTTAGAACTGTAGATTCTCAGAGCCCACCCTAGATCTGCTGAATTAGGAGCTGTGTCTGGGAGCTAGCAATCTGTGTTTGAACAAGCCTTCCAGGTGTTTCTGATGTATTCTAACATTTGAAAACCACTGTTTGAGAGCACAGTTTGGCAAACCATGCGTTGCAGGCCATATCCAGCCCATTGCCGTTTTTTTTTTTTTTTTTTTGGCGGGGTTGGGGGGCATATAAGTTTTTACTGGAACACAGCTATGCTCTTCTGTTTCTGTATTGTCTATGGCTACTTTTACACCACAGCAGCAGGGTTGAGTAGTGTGATAGAGGCCTCATGGCCCACAAGCTTCAATGCTTATTATATCTAGCCCTTGGCGGAAAGAGTGTCCTGATGACTGTTGTAAAGGACTCCTTCATTTTTCCCATTTACGGAGACTGTATCTGCCATGACACACACTGAAGAGTGGTCCTTTTAATGTTAGTGAATGTGACTTAGTGGTTTAACTGCCTTTCATGAATTCTTCTCAGTAAAATGGTGTTGGATGAACCAGGCTAATTAAAACCAGATTGTTTGCGAATAAGAAGCAGGCATTAGTAATTTTTAAGGCTCCCCATGTCATTCTAGTCTGCAGCCCAGTTTAAGAAACAGTGGATTGTTTCCTGTAAACAAACCACCTGGAGATCTTGGTAAATGCAGAT